>NC_000020.11:4914819-5066335 GCF_000001405.40 Homo sapiens
CACCTGAGGTCGGGAGTTCGAGACCAGCTGGCCAACACAGTGAAACCCCGTCTCTACTAAAAATACAAAAATAAGCCAGGCATGGCGTTGCACATCTGTAGTCCCAGCTACTCAGGAGGCTGAGGCAGGAGAACTGCTGGAACATGAAAGGTGGGGGTTGCACTCCAGCCTGGGTGACCGAGCAAGACATCGACTCTAAATAAATACATAAATAAATAAATAGCTAGCTGATGTACTAATTAAAAAAAAACTCCAAGAAATACTGTTTTTAAAAAGTTATAAAACAATAAGCCTAGAATTATCCCAACTGAGCTAAAAAAGAAAATTGTAATGACCCCACCACTTGTCTAAAAAGGACAGAAAAGCATACAGGAAAATCACAACCAGTAGGAAGGGTGCTGCCTTAGGGACAAGAACGGCAATAGCAGACACCTTTCATCTTTTTACTCACAACCCTTTGTAAGTGTTTGGATCTTTTATGATCAGGATGTATTTGTGTTATTTGTATACTGCTTTTTTAAAAATGGATAATTTAAAAAAAAAGACATACTCCAAAATGCTAACAGTGGTTGTCCTTAATTGGTAGGGCCATTTTTGCCAACTTTTTCCCCTTTTTATATTTTGGTCATTTCCTAAAATGAGTAAGTACAATTTATTTTGATAATAGGGAAGAAATTTAAGACTAAAATCCTAGCAGTACAGCTTGGATTGAGGAGGTCCAGAGAGATTCCCAATTCATGTGTTTTTGTAGTCAAGGAAATCAGGGCAGTGAAAAATTAGGTTTCTCATTCAAGGTCATACAGATTATAACCTAGGTCTGAAGTGGGTTTTTAAGTATGCCAGAGAGGCCAGGCGCAGTGGCTCATGCCTGTAATCCCAGCACTTTGGGAGGCCGTGGCAGGCAGATCACCCGAGATCACGAGTTCGAGACCAGCCTGGCCAACATGGCAAAACCCCATCTCTACTAAAAATACAAAAATTAGCTGGGCGTGGTGATGGGCGCCTCTAATCCCAGCTACTTGAGAGGATGAGGCAGGAGAATCGCTTGAATCCAGGAGGTGGAGGTTGCAGTGAGCCGAGATTGTGCCACTGTACTCCACCCTGGTCAACAGAGCGAGACTCCATCTCAACAAATAAAAAATAAAATAAAATAAAAATAAAAACTATGCCAGAGATCTCAATTAATTAGTACATACTCCTACAGAGCAGAATTCTCTTACATTACTTCAAATAAAGACCTGCTTTTAAAATTATTTCTCAAACATGTTATAGTTTTTTACACAAGCCAACTGAGTTTGTGGAGCTGGTTTACCTATAAAAACTGGCTGCTGGGAGGATACACATTCCTGGCCAAGTTCAGGTCCACGAGATGAAACTCTTAACTTACAGAGAGAACTGTGCTCCAAGTCATATCGCAGCAGTGCTCAACCCACTGAGAAGCCAAGAGCAACACGCTCTCAGGATGAACTCTCCTAAAACACGGATCAGTTACTAAATCATTAGAGAAACCTAGATATGATTGAAAGTCTGACTCTAGCCAAACTAACCTTCACCTGCATTTATCTCGGGTTGCTGCAGGGAACAGCAACTTTACCAGTAAGGGGTTTCCTTTGCAGGAGATGAAAATGTTTTGGAACCAAATGGACGAGGCTGTATAACACTGTGAGTGTATTAAAATATCACTGAATTGTTCACTTTAATTTCATGTTATGCAAACTTCACCTCGATACATTAAAAAAAATCATCTGTATACATGGCACTAAGAAGATAGATTTTGAAATGAGTTAGCAATTCCTACTGCTCCCCTGACACATTCCACTCACTACTTATACATACACAAATAAGTATAATGATCCCCAACTTAAATGGTTAAACTTAGGATTTTTTGACTTTACAGTGGTACAAAAGTGATATGTATTCCGTAGAAACTGTCAAGTACCCATACAACCCCTCTGCTCTTCACTTCAGTATTCAAGAAACTGCAAGAGATATTCAACACTTCACCATAAAATAGGCTTTGTGTTAGATGCTTTTGCCTAACTACAGGCTAATGTAAGGGTTCTGAGCACATGTGAGGTAGGCGGGGTTAAGCTATGAATTGCCAGTAGGTTAGGTGTATTAAATGCATTTTAGGGGTGTAACTCTGTCATAAGTCAAGGAACATCTGTATTATAAAATGCAGACACTCCTAAGCCTAGAAAAAAAGCTCACATATTCATTCATTCAACAAATTGTGGTTGTATCCCAGGCAATGAGAATGCAGTCCTGCCTCCCTGCAGGAGCTCAGTCCAGACTGAGTGCCCCGCCAAGGAATTCCGCTGTTACACAGGAGGCAGTCAGTAGCCACAAAGAAATGCCAAGAACAGGAGTGCCACAATCAGATGCTAGCACTGGACAGCCATTCTGGGTGCAGCAGGAGAGTGGATGGGTGGGGTAAAGGAATGACCCTTTGGCACACGAGGAGACAGGAGCTGGGCAAAGGTGTTAACAGTGGTCTGGGAAAGACAGTCAGCTTCAGGAGAGAGCAATGATGTGGACTTAATGCCCCCTGAAGATTGTCTGGATGGGAGCTCTGTGGTGAGTACAGCGGGGAGATGCCATCACAGCACAGCAGGGGGCACGGGAGTAAAGTGTCCAGGCTGGGTTTCTCAGCTGGGAAGCTGGGTGGATGGAGGTGCCAGTCCCAAAGAGACTGGCAGGAGGTAGGGGTGGAATGTTTGTAAGCCAATTCAAAATGTGTTTGACCCACAGAAATCATCCAAAAAAGGAAGGTTTACTTTGCCAGGCTAGTCCAGGAAGTTTATTTAACTGTAAATACTACTGACCTAGAAAACCTATGATTTGCACAGGTCCAGCTGTCTGTCCCTGGGGACCTCAGAGCCCAGCTTCCCCCTGCTACCCTCCTGTTGCCCAGCTGAGATGTAGCTCTCCTCTCCATGCTACCCCCATCCTCTAAGGAAGCCTGTAATAAGACGGGGACACCAGCTGGAAATGCTCTTGTCTGACTGGCTCGTCTCTGATCTATTTACGTGCAGGGGGCTGCCTAAATAGTTCTTGCCTAAATGGTTCTTACAGATGAAGAGTTCTACTGGAAGTACTAGTCTACCTTACCAACATTTTTTCCTTTGGCTTATTAAAATAGATACTCTAATGGCCTATTTTTAATGCAAAATTTAATTTTAAAAATCAAATGGTAAAAATCAGTTCTTGAGGACTGAATTTTTTATGGGAAAAGGATTAAAATGCTGATGATAGTAGCAAAGCTTCATATTTTGGAACTTTTAAATATTATTTTAACTGGGAAATAAAACATGTCTTGGGAAGCTTTCTAAACTTAATAAAGTCTGGTTTTCTTTTGGGTAACTAATAGATAACAGAAGAATCTTGGCATCGTTCACCTCAGGAAATTGATCAAGTTTTTATAAAAATATCAGCAGATTAGTATACCCCTTTTGGGAACAAGATGTCCTTTCTTCTCCAAAACTATCTTAAACTAAACTCGTGGCCTTAAGTTTTGTCTCCTAAACTAACATTGTACAATCAATCAGCTATGAAAGGAGGTTTTCTCTGCCTAACCAGATGATTTTGTCTCCAATATGCAATTGCATTTGCATTGTATTTACTGAGCAACGGACACATTTCCACACTCAAAGTCAAGTCTTACACTTGTCTTTTTGCTTGTGTTTTATTTTTACTAAGCTAAGACAATGGTATTAAAGTACTTATTTCTAAACAGTTCTCCTGAGATGGTCAGAGGTGTAGGAAGCAGGAGTGACAGAAGTCATTGCCTAGAGGTGTCAGTATCACAGCAGTGCCAGGCGAAACTGACAGCTGTGTGTGCCCACATTTCTCAAGCAGAAGTGACAGTGCATGTGCTGCTTCGTGACACCTGTCAAGCGGAGGGCACTAGCACCTGCAAAACCCCACACCTCCAATGAGAGTGTTCAGAACTCAATTTCCCACTTACTATATCGTGTCTGGCCGCTAAGAGAACCACTTTATACTAAACCAATCGCTTTCAGAATAGTAATAAAGTTCCCCAAATTTCTGCTTTCTATTCTTTTAAAAGAAAGGTAACACACAGTTATTAATCCCCCTCCTCAATGTGTGCACACACCGTTATTTCCTCTTGTATCCAAATCTACTCCACAATTAAAATGTGTTTTGAATACAGAAGATAATAGATTCGTGTTTCCCAGCCTTTACTGCAAGCTCCTTTACTATGAACATGAAAACTTTCCACCTACTTTCAATATTATTAGAAATTTCAAAATTAACCACTATGAAAAATAAATTCAAGTGAGTACAGTACAACATATTCTAAACACCCAAAGCTTGTCAATCTAGATTACATCATCTCAAAAAGATGCAGCAGCCGATAGATCTAACATGACACTAGCGACCTTGAATCTGGCTGATGCCGCAAAGCCTCTAATTTTGCTTTCACTGCCTCTTCCCACAGGATGGCTCCTGTAACTCCCCAGTGCAGGTGATGCTGCTGGATGGCTCAGCCTCCACCACTCGCCTGGCCCAGCCTGGTCTTCTTAGGGCTGCCTTCTCCAGAAGGCTAAGGCTGTGGCAGCCAGAAGCACCCCGGGGATTCCAGCTGCATCTCACCTGTCCCCCAGTAGGGCGACAAGAGGAGCCAGAAGGAGCCTTACCTCTCCCCATGCCGGCCCACAGCAGAGCTCGGGCGGGTGATGTGTCTGCCAAGGTCCACACTGAAACACTCTGCAGTGTGTGCTCCTCCCACACCCCAGGCAGGTGGTGCTGGTGACTGCTACTGTCTGCCTGGCACATATTCATGCCTGGCACTAGGTTGGGCACTTCAAACATCTTCCCTGCTAGGTGAGGTTTCTAAGAGATGTCCCTGGGGATCCTGTCCCCAGATGGATTCAAGAACAGATCCTGAGGCCACGCAGCACATTACAGCACTCCACCCAAAACGGACCGTCCTCTCCCATTCTTTCCAGGTGCTAACACATTACAGATAACAAACCCATGTCTCTAAAATGTAAATATGGAAGGGACACAAACCCAACAAGAAAAGGGCTAACATCCCAACAGGAAAATAACTAAGGAAATAAACATGCTTCTTGAACAGTAAAAAGATGCTCAACCTTACTCATAAGAAGATATACATTAAAACTATGATGAGAGGCCGGGTGCGGTGGCTCACGCCTGTAATCCCAGCACTCTGGGAGGCCAAGACGGGTGGATCACTTGAGGTCAGGAGTTCGAGACCAGCCTGGCCAACATGGTGAAACCCCATCTCCACTAAAAATACAAAAGTTAGCTGGGCATGGAGGCTCGCGCCTGTAATCCTAGCTACTTGGGAGACTGAGGCAGGAGAATTGCTTGAACCTGGGAGGCAGAGGTTGCAATGAGCCGAGAACATGACACTGCACTCCAGCCTGGGCAACAGAACGAGACTCCACCAAACTATAATGAGAAACCTCTTTCTACCTACTAATCGGGACAAGAGCCCAGTCTGACCACATATTCTGCTGCCAAGCATGCAAGAAAACAGGCATTTACACATTGCTGACGAAATTCCTCAACAGAGGGCAATTTGGTGAGTAGCCCCCTCAGCTTACCAAGGCACATCCCCTCTGACTCAAAAATCTCACTCTTGGAAATCTATCCTTCAATTACACCTGAGTGAAACAACTTATGTGCCAGGTTATTCAGGGTAGTGCTATTTGTAATAGCAAAACATTAGAAACAGTCTAGATGTCTATCTGCAGTAATTAAATAAATTATGGTGTATCTATACCATGGATCACTTTGCAGTTATAAAAAACAATGAAGATAATCCTTATACACTGACACAGGTATACAGAACATCATCTGTATATCAGAAAGTGAAAAGAGCAAGAACGGAGCTACAGACACAGATCTGTAGATACAGACACTTCCTTCTACAACAAAAACTGCTCCCCCTAAACAGAGACAGAGTAAACATCCCCCTATCCTAGGGCTATCAGTAATGACAGGCACAGATCTGGCTGGTGGTGCGGCTGGTTCTCCCTCTATTCCCTCAAAGTGCTATCAGATCCAGGGATCTTCTCTGTAATTGTTCTGTATGATGCAGTATCTTTGATCACCAGTATTACTCCGCAGGAATAAAGGGGCTAGGGAGAAGAATAGGCACAATGAAAGAATATAAATGGCCAAGGAATGCTGGCAGAAGTGTTTGGCTTCACTGAAACTCAAAATTAAAGCAATCAGATACAATAAGGTCAATATAAACTAGGCTGTTATTTATTATAGCAAAGCATTAGAAACAATCCAAAGTCCCAATGCAAGTGGAAAAGTTAGATCCATGATTTGCTATATGTCACAATTACAAGTTCTGTTTCTAATAACATTGAGATGCCACGATATGATACAAAGTTAAAGTCTTCATAAAGCAGATTGTGTGTTGATGAGAATTTTATAAAAGAACACTCAAATACTTGTCTTAAATCTCTGGAAAGAAATACATCAAGGCTGGGCACAGTGGCTCATGCCTGTAATCTCAGCACTTTGGGAGACCAATCACTTGAGCTCAGAAATTCGAGACCAGCCTAGGCAACATGGCAAAACCCCATTCCTACTAAAAACAACAATAACAACTAGCTGGGCGTGGTGGTGCATGCCTGTAGTCCCAGCTACCCAAGAGGCTGAAGTGGGAGGATCACTTGAGCCCAGGAGGTCAAGGCTGCAGGAAGCTATGATCATGTCACTGCACTCCAGCCTGGGTGACAGAGTGAGACCCTGTCTCAAACAACAATCACAACCAAAAAAAAAAAAAAAAGAAATACACCCAAAATATCAGTAAAATATTTTCTGTTACTACCAAAATAACAGAAAGTGGTGTTTTTCTGGCTAGTGAGATTTTAAATTATTTGTTTTCCTCATTTTACCATTCTGCATTTTCTGCAGTGAACTTATTTCTCTTGTAAATGAAGAAAGTTACACAAATAATGAAAAAGGGACAGAAAATACACATATGAGAACTACAAAAAAGAGGCAGAAGAACATATCAGCATTCTTGCTTCTTCCATTTCACCCCAACAATGTAGTTTGTACCGTAAAACCTAGGGAGAACTATGGATGCTTAAAAACATCCATTTTAAGGGCAATTTAAGAGGGTGGGGAATGTGACAACTGAGTGATTACTGCCTCGAAACCTCCAATATCATATCTTCCTCCTCAAGTACTTTATCAAATCCTAGCAAGAATGAACTTTTTCTCCAATAGAATTATGGGCTTAGATTATGGTAAAGAAATCAATCTGAAATATTTTATCTCTAATCATTAAAACTAAGAAGCCTGCCTACCTAGCTTAGGCAAATAAAAGTTAGTGGGGGTGGGGATTAGGAATTTAGAAGTGGGGATTCACCTAGAAGAAAGGAAATCTGAAGTAGTCCTGGAAGTGCAAAAGGCACAGGCAGGAATAGCAATCAGGGGTCAGAAGAGACCAAGGCTGTGGGGCAGGGAGATCACACAGAGGTTGTCACGATGATCCCAGGAAGAACTGATGCTGACCCACAGAAAGCGGAGACAGCAGGATGAAGGCAGGGGGATCACATGGGGTAGGAAAGGAAGGAAGCTTGTCAACTACTTCTGATGCATTCCTGTCACAGCATTTAGCAAGAGCAGAACAAACAAGAGGTCCTCTAAGGCCTTTTCCATGACCAAGATTCCATAAACCTGACCTCACAGAAATTAAGAGGTGAGAGGCCGGGCACAGTGGCTCACGCCTTT
This sequence comes from Homo sapiens, assembly GCF_000001405.40. Classification (NCBI taxonomy): domain Eukaryota; kingdom Metazoa; phylum Chordata; class Mammalia; order Primates; family Hominidae; genus Homo; species Homo sapiens. Next base: position 4,922,572 of record NC_000020.11, read on the forward strand.
ATCCCAGCACTTTGGGAGGCCGAGGCAGGAGGATCACTTGAGGTCAGAAGTTTGAGACCATCCTGGCCAACATGGTAAAATCCAGTCTCTACCAAAAAATACGAAAATTAGCTGGGCATGGTCGTGCATGCCTGTAGTCCCAGCTAGCTACTTGGGAGGCTGAGGCACAAGAACTGCTTGAACCCGGGAGGCAGAGGCTGCAGTGAGCCAAGATCACGCCACTGCACTCCAGCCTGGGTGACAGCAAGACCGTGTCTTTAAAAAAAAAAAAGCACACACACACACACACACAAGTAAGAGATGGCCAGAATGCTGATCAACTTCGTAAGCCTGCTATAGTAAGAGACTGTAGCAAGAACCTCTTACTATTTTCATTCGTAACAAATTGTGTGTCTCCCAACTATTAGATGTGTACTTTGTATTACTAACATCTCTCATTTCATTTAAAACTACCAAAACTCTGTTCAAATTAAAAGTATATTGCAATATGATAAACTTATCTGAAACCTCAAAACCAGAGGAAAAAAAATTAATTTTTAAGTTAAAAATCTAGGACTGGGTGTGGTGGCTTATGCCTGTAATCCCAGCACTTTGGGAGGCCAAGGTGGGAAGACTGCTTGAGCCCAGGAGTTCGAGACCAGCCTGGGCAATGTAGCGAGACCCCATCTTGAAGGGAGGGAGGCAGGGAGGGAGGGAGGGAGGGAGGGAGGATGGATAAGGAAAAGAACATCTTACCATGCACAAAAATCTTCACTTGCATCCCATCGTTTTGATGTTTTCATTTCAAAGCATATATTGGCATATTCCTTTTCTAACACTTTTTCCCCCCAACTTACAAATTTTAAAACAGAAAAGGGTGCTCATCTTGGTTGTTCCACTTCAAGCTGTTAAGGGCATCCCCTGCCTAAATCATGGCCATTATGCAGTATATTAAAACTCTCATCTTACAGAAATAGGAGAATTAAACCAATTCCCTGGGCCGACTCCAGGAAACAGTCTCTCTTCATCCTCAGGCCCTTCTTGGAATCATAGTCAATTCCAAAATCTATTATTCTTACAGAAAGAACATTTTCCCAGACAACTATTATTACCATCCAACTGAGACTTTTCGTTTTAAGATCTAAGTACTCCAAACTCTCTATTTAGGGATGTACAAAAAGGAACTTCACAGCACCTGGTACGAAAGTCACAAGAACAAGGACATGTTCTGGGCTTCTTTGCTTGGTTTTTAGAATGAAGGTAGTTGCACCAAAAAGCCTTTTTGCCTTCTTTTCACTGCTGAAAAGGGGCATGTTCAAATCTGTCATCACATAGTCAGGGGTTTAGAGGAACTGAAGCAGCCATTAAATGGTTTCTTCACTGTACCTCCCTACATCTTTCTGCCAAGGCCACTTGTCTTAAAGAAGGGATGGGAAGGAAACAGAAAAGGAAAGAAAGGAGCATGGGTCCCTGATCCTGGTGGCTGCCCTCCTCCCCTCCGCTCTGGGGCATCCTCACATCCCTGCATCCTTGCACAGCACAGCTCTGAGCCGCATCGCCACTCTGTCCTGCTCACCTCCTGCCTGCTAGGCACACCCATCAGGACACAGCCCCACAGGCCCCAGGTCTCCTCCTGAAGCTCCTTCCAGGAGTCTCTTCCAGGACAGCAACTTGCCCCTTCTTTTCAAAGCTCTCGGCCACACCTCCAGCCAACCCTTCCTCCACTGTGGCTCCTCCCCGTCCTCCCTCTGGAGTCAGAGTTTCTCCTGACATACTTTTCAACGCCTGGAATGGGTGTCTCTTTCTGAAGGGACTTGCCCCCACCCTCATCCAGCCCAAAAGCACAGAAACTAGGTCTGCTCCAGAGCCTGGTGGCTTCTCCCACCTCCACATGGCAAGCACCCAGGATGCAGCTGCTGTCAGCACACCTGTCCTAGGGCCACCAGCTCCTGCCTGGCCTCCTGCTTTTCCTTTCAGCCTACTCCCCACTAGGCAGAGCATGTCACATCTCTGCTCAAAGGCCTCCAAAGGTTTTTTTCAGGCCAACACCCTGGTGAGGCCCACAAGACCTATGGAATCTCTGGTCAATGCCCATCCTGGTGGAGCAACACCAGGCACCCCCCTGCTGTGGGGCCTTTGCCCTTGAGGCCCACATGCAGGCTTCCCACAACTCCTCCAGGACTTTACTCAAAGGCCGCCTTCTTGGTGCAGCCTTTCCTGGCCGCCTGAATTTTCAGCATCCATACCTCTACCTTATTTTTTTCCCTAGTGTTTGTCAATATCTAACATCTACACATTTGACTTATTTCTATTGTGGATTGCCTGTCTCCCACACCAGAATGAAAGCCCTGTGGCCAGGCAAAGTGGCTCCCACCTGTAATCCCAGCACTTTGGGAGGCTGAGGCAGAAGGATTGCTTGAGCTCAGGAGTTTGAGATCAGTGACATAGTTAAGACCTTGTCTCTACAAAAAAAAAAAATTAAAAATCAGCTGAGCACAGTGGCATGTGCCATATTTCAGCTACTCAGGAGGCTGAGGTGGGAGGATGGCTTAAACCCAGGAGGTTGAGGCTGCAGTGAGCCATGATGATGACACTGCACTTCAGCCTGAATGATAGAGCAAGACTCTGTCAAAAAAAAAAAAAAAAAGGATGGAAACTCATGGATTTTTGTCTGTCTGTTCATTGCTGTTCTCTAGAGCCCAGACCTGTGAGTGGCACACAGTTCCTATTTTTAAAAGGACAAATTAATGAATGGCTTGCAGGTCCTGTATGATCACTGTCTGACCTCACATTCTATTTCTCACTATTCCCCTCCCTGATTTATTTTTCTTCACAGAATTAGTGACCAGCTGCCACAAGATTGACGTATTTGCTTGTTTCTTTACTGTTTTTCTCCTCCCACCATCACTAGGAGGCCAATTCCAGGACAGAGCCTCACGCAAAGCAGGTGCCCAATAACCATCTGCTGAATGGAAGAATTCCTTTCCTCCGCACTTTCCAGGTCAGGTCACTGTCGGCTCACACCTGGACTGCGTAAGCACCCTAACTTGCCTTCCTATCTCCAGACCCTTCCTGCCCCGGCACCCACCGCAGGAATTTCCTACCCCAAAACGAGCAAATTTACTATGACCTCTCCTCAGCATCCCTGCTGCTCATCTCCACCTCCACTGTACTCTGCACTAAACTTGCGCCCCAAGCAGGACACTGCCATGCACACCCTCAGCTGAGAGGCCTTCAGTCTCCCTCCTCTTGACCTACTATACCTAGACATTTTTTAGGAGTTCCATGTTATCTCCCCTGGGAACCTTCATCTGACCGGCAAGGCCCACCCTACAACACGACTGGGCAAGGGTCTCACGTGGACACTATCACAGCACCCGTGCAGAATTCAAACCCTAACACTGATGGTATGCTGGCTGTCTTGCCATATGTCCCCCACTGGGCTGTAAGCAGCTGGTTACCAGGTATGTGCACCAGACACATTTAATCAATGGAGGAACGTGAGGCTGTGGGCTCTTCCCATTACATGTTCTGAAGAACACACACCAAGGTAAGATGAGAAGTGGTCGGTTCTTATGAACACCCAGGAGTATTTCTCCCACTCTCTGGTAAGACTAAACCTCATAAAGTTACTCGTCGGTCCATGCCGCTAATATCTCCAGACAGAATAATCTACTCTTGATACCCAAATATTCTCACAAAGGCTGTTAAAAGAAATAAAAGCTTAAGGAAGCTTAAACGCTTTCCCTGACTCTGAATGATGACGCACTGAAACAACAGGCTGTGTGTGTCACAGCCGTGCCTGTGCCAACAGGAAGTTTGGGCTGTTAACTGGGCTTCCAGGTTTAGGTGGTCCAAGAACTGCTGAGCAAACACACAGCCTTTTTCTGGCCGTGCTTCCTGTCTGTACTTTGGGATCAATGTCCCTAGGGTACGATCGTTCATCAGAATTTTTTTTGCTTTTTTTTTTTTTTTTTTTTTCCTGATTCCTGTTTCTTGCCATGGGCATTCACCCCTATTTACGCATTTCCTAGCTGGCTTTAAAACATAAGAATTTGCCTAACTAGAGTCCTGTGGGATAAGAAGAAGATCTTTTGCTATGTTCCCCCTATTTGATATCAACTCTGACCACATGATCTAATTTCCATGAGTCCTGGGGCCTGGCACATCTCTTGTTCTTACTTTGACCTAGTGGACATTCTACTTCTAAGTATGGATTTGTTCTTTTTCTTTGTAAAATGTTTGTGTGGGTGTTTTGTTTTATTTTGTTTAAAGATCTGGGAAGCACTCATCCAACACAGGATGCCTAAGAGAATCTCTAAAGATAAGATCCTTATCAGCCACACACCCCACCTCCCTTTCCAGGAGACACCCCACAAGCCTGGTTCTCAGCAACGGCCAGATTTGGTTACTGGTGCCCAACCACGCTGCACTCCAGCACACCTTTCTCTAGATGCCTTAACAGCTGACAGCCTAAAGCCCAGCTTTGGATTCTGAGGCAAATGAGAAAATAAGAGCCAACATTTCAGCCTCGCAAGGCCCTAACCAGCAAGCAGAGATGGGCTAGCCACTAGCCACGTGTGGCTATGGAGTACTTGACGAGTGCAACTAACGAAGTGAATTTCAGGTTTTATTGAATAGTATTTAATTTAAATGTAAACGTCACATGTGACTAGCAGCCATGATGCTGGACAGTACAGATCCAGACAAAAAGATAAAACCCAGAGCTGCCATGCTGGCTATTCTTCAATATTTACATTTGCAAAGGCCAGAATGAAACAAGGCACTAGCATGCAGCAATGTCCTGGCATGATCCTCCCTGTCACTCATGTGTGGGTATACCCAACGGTGAGACCCTCAACCCTATCTTCCTCTGCCAGCTCTGCCTGCCAGCAGCACCCTCTCACACGGGTCAGTCACCACCCACATGAGCCATCACAGTGAGTCTTTACAGCTCTCCTGATCTCTATGTGTGTCAAGTCCCACACCCCCACTGCCTGCAGGCTCTAGGAGCACCGCAGTTCAAATCCACAACTTCTCAAATAAAACCCATCATCTTCCATCTTCCCCACCCTCCAAACTTATGGTTTTCCCTAGACTTCATATTTTCTCCAAAGCCAACATATACCCAATCAGGTTCTTCTGTATAAAATCTTGATGAGAATCCGAAACATCTCCTTCTTTGGCCCTCAAAACCTCCTATCACCTCTTCTATCAGCCTCACCTCTGTTCTTACTATTCCCATGCCTTTGGTATCTCCCAGACCCACCAATTCTTCCTGTGCTACCCCACTGCCCCTGCCTCCAACCAGCTGCCCCCACACTAATCCCATCCATCAGGCAATGGGAAGCGACCCACTGTAACTTAGTCCCCTCACTTTTTCCCTGTCAATGGGCAAATCATTCAAAATGGTCTTCTACTTTAAAAGTTGACTTAGGGTAGCAATTTCACTAGTGATTAAATACGGGCAGTACTGTGTTCCTGTTCTTATTTTATATATATTTTGGAGACAGGGTCTTGCTCTGTCACCAAGGATGGCATGCAATGACACAACTGCTAACTCACTGCAGCCTCAAACCTCTGGGCTCAAAGAATCCTCCCATCTCAGTCTCCCAAGTAGGTAGGACTACAGGCATGCACCACCACGTCCAGCTAATTTTTAAATTTTTGGTATGAATGAGGGTCTCGCTATGTTGCCATGGCTGGTCTTGAACTCCTGGCTGCAAGTGATCCTCCCACCTTGGCCTCCCAGAGTGCTGAGATTACAGGCCTGAGCATCCGCACCCAGCCTATAACATGTTTTCTAACAAAACTATCCACAACCCAAAACTCCATCCCACAAACTATTCCTTTGTAAACATTCTTTGATGAGGTTTTGTTTTCGTGTTTTCCTTCTTTTATGTAATCTACTTTATCTTGAGCTTTGGGAGTTCAGACTAAGGTTCATCTTGGCATCCCTGACACCAAATCATCCTGGGAGCTCATGTTTGGACTCTCTGCCATCTCTATCCTTGGCATTTCTCCCCTCCCAGCAGCTCCATCCCATGATTCCAGCTCTATTCCTACTCTTTGTAGTTCAATTTAGCATAATTTTAAAAACTATTTTCTTCCCCTTTTAAGGCTTCCTTTTATAGCCCTAGACTGGGATAAAAATTCCATAACATCCTTAATTAAATGGCTCTACTGTTAAATCAACTTTATAATTAACATCATATTTACACCCAACTATGGCTTACGTCCACATTCCCAGCTCCCATGCTCTCACAGGGACTCCTACTTAGGTTGGATCTGGAAATTAATGCTGTGAGCAGTATTCCTTCCCAACCCTGCCCTAAAAAATGTAACAGGGATAGAGGGAAAAACCTCAAAATAGGCAAGCTTAAAAAGACAAACATTTCCGTACGCAAGAAACATGTATGGGCTGGGCACGGTGGCTCACGCCTGTAATCCCAACACTTTGGGAGGCTGAGACAGGTGGGTCACTTGATCTCAGGAGTTCCAGACTAGCCTGGCAACATGCAGAAATGCCATCTCTAAATTTAAAAAATATATATATACACAAAAATGTAGCCAGGCCCAGTAGCACGTACCTGCAGTCCTAACTACTCAGGAGGCTGAGGTGGGAGGATCACCTGAGCCAAGGAGGTCGAGACTGCAGTGAGCTGTGATTGCTCCACTGCACTCCAGCCTGGGCAACAGAATGAGACCCTGTGTAAAAAAAAAAAGAAAAGAAAAAGAAAAAAAAAACACTTATGGAAAAAAATGGGGCTGACACTGGGACCTGCTGGGCTGAGCCTGGAAGCCCTAAGCCAGGCAGCCTCGGCTCCAGCAGGGGAACAAGGTGGGGGCTGAACCAGGCCAGGCAGGCTTCCCCACTCTTCCATGCCATGGTTGGCAACCCTGGGGAAGACAACGAGGGCTCCACCCTAGGGTCTGCCTCTGGACTGGATCCATAATGAGAAGACACAAACCCCACAGAAGCACAGAGAAAGAGATGAAATTCCTGGAAGATTCCAGATGGAAAGAGAACTAGGGAGGGACTTCATATAGTATATCAGGGTTCCCAATGATTTAAATGAAGTCACATTTAAAAGAAACACATATATATAAGAAATTAAGGACCAAAAATAGGCAGAAGTTAACCAAATAAAAATTTTAGAAGAAGTATAATTATTGCAATAAGAATTCAACACAAATACATGACTGTATACAAAAAATAAGTAAACCGGAAAATACTGAAGGACTCATCCAGAAGGCAGTGCTGGAAGAGGATACCCAAATCATTAGAGAAAGCAGCTAAAGAGAAATGAGGACAGGCTGGAAGGCTGGGCCGTATCATTCACAGAAGTCTGTGTAATAGTGGAGGGCAAACTACAATTATTTCCAGATGTAGAAAGACTAAGATGGTGACCATCCACAGACCATCAGTGTATCTTAAATGAAAAGCAAACTAAGAGGGAAGAAGAAGAACGCAAAAAATAACAAGGAATGAGGAAGCTGACAACATACAATGATGAATTCAACTGCTAACGATAAAATACTACAAGTTTAACCTAGAATAAGTAAATCTTAAATTCTGGACCATAATGACAAGGCAGGTGGTTGAGACATGTTCAAGTTCTTGTCCCGAAAGTGAAGGGAAGTGAGAGTGAATCATCTCCTGGGCTGTAAGATAAAATAAAGCCACCAAAGAGATGAGGCAACCCCCATGCATGAAACCTTCCCATTCACTCTTCAAGTTCATCTAATTTAATCTTGAACAACTGGACTGATGCCTCTTCCCCTAGAAAATCTGTGTCAACCTTAAGCTTTCAACAGTGAAGAAAATCCAGTTTCAAAATTTTTCATTATAGGAAAAAAGAAAATGGTAATGCCAGTTGTAAAATTAGTTAAACAGCTCTCTGAGAATTAATACAATTTAAAAAAATAAACGAATAAAGTGTGAACGAAAGCAGTCAATCAATGTACTTAAAAAATGCCATGTTCAGCTGGGCACAGTGGCTCACACCTGTAATCCCAGCATTTTGGGAGGCCAAGGCAGGTGGATCACCTGAGGTCAGGAGTTCGAGACCAGCCTGGCCAATATGGCAAAACCCCATCTCTACTAAAAATACAAAAATTAGCTGGGCGTGGTGGCACATGCCTGTAGTCCCAGCTACTCGGGAGGCTGAGGCGGGAGAATCGCTTGAACTTGGGAGGCAGAGGTTGCAGTGAGCCAAGATGGTGCCACTGCACTCCAGCATGGGTGACAGAGCAAGACGGTCTCAAAAAAAAAAGATGCCATGTTCAAGTTAGGGTTGGTGGCATGCATCCATAATACCAACTACTCAAGAGTCTAAGTCAGTTGGCTTGAGCCCTGGAATTCAAAGCTCCATTATGATTGTACGACTGCCCTCCAGCATAGGCAAGAGTGAGACTCAGTCTATTTTTTTTTTTTTAAGAAAAGTTATTTTCTTAAAATAACTTTTATTTTTTTCTTAAAATATATTTTTCTTAAAATAACTGTTATTTTTTTAAGAAAAAAAAAAAAAAAAAAAAAAAAGAATCCTCCAAGGCCGGAGGATTGCTTGAGCTCAAGCTCTCAAGTTCAAAACCAGCCTGGGCAACATAAGGAGACCCTGTCTCTACAAAAGTAATAAAAAATATTAGCTGAGCATGGTGGCAGGCATCTGTGATCCCAGCTACTTGGGAGGCTGTGGTGGGAGGACTGCCTGAGCCCAGGAGGTCAAGGCTACAGTGAGTCTTAATTGTGCCACTGCATTCCAACTCGGGTGACACAGTGAGACCCAGTCTTAAAAAATAATACTGACACCTCTGTAGATCCATCTACCCTCAAATGTCTTACTGTTGAGTCTCTTTATCATCAGGCTATGGGGCATGCCAACAGTTTCAGATGCAACATTGATAATAATAACTAATCTTGAAACCAGGTGTGGTGGCTCATGCTTATAATCCCAGTGCTTTAGGAGGCTGAGGCGAGAGCATCACTTGAGCCCTGGAGTTCAAGACCAGACTACGCAACACAGTGAGACCCCATCTCTACAAAAAGTAGAAAAAATTAGCCAGCTGTGGTAGACTACAGGCTGCACACACCTATAGTCCCAGCTACTCGGGAGACTGAGATGGGAAGATAGTTCAAGCCTGGGAAGTCAAGGCTGCAGTGAGCTTTAAGGGTGCCACTGCACTCCAGCCTGGGCAACAGAGCGAGGCCTTGTCTCAAAAAAAAGAAAAAAGGAAAGAAAAAAATCCTAGAATACTATTCTTGCCATTAACCACATCTCCAGTATTAAGAGGAAAACATCTTGAGGCAAGACCTCTCTAAAGAGCATTTTTCTGTTTTTAAACCAACACATTATAGGTAACTTTATACAAATCAAGTCATCGTCCTACATCTGGGAAAAAAATGTTCTTACTGAATATAAATGAATGTGTGTAATCAGCCTTATCTGACTGCTATCACTTATTTGGATAAAACTACCTCTACGCTGGACACTGCTGCCATAATACATATGGACAGTGGGGTTCCAAGCAGTAAGTCATTCATCCTCCCAGCTTGCAATATGAGTGTGATGTTGGGTTGCACATTATTTCCTAAGAGTACACCTTTTGAAGATAAAATTAAGTCTTCAACATCCTCCAGGACACAGTAAGCACTGGGCTAGATTTAAAATGTTAACAGCAATGCATACTTCCTTCCTGGAGTTAATCCCAGCAGATGACTCCAGGCTGAGAGCACAGCTAAAACCCAAGAGTTAGCCCAAAGACTATCTCACATATAAAGTATTTGGTTTGCAAATGCCTTAACCTTCACTGAAAACATGAGCATTAAAGCCAATCCTATGTTGATTCCATACGGAAACTACTTTCAAGAGATTTAAGAAAGGAAGATGGGGAATATGATTACCGGAAGAGTGAAGAAAGCTGGGTGCTTTGCCTCGTCTTCGTATTTGCCTTCTGTTGAACTTCCAGCCTCCATTGATTTGGATGTGGTATTCTTACCAATACCCATCATTAAGAGAAACGAGTAGTTTACACAGCCGTTGGGGAGAGCAGCTGGAAGTGAAGGCTTATTCAAGCTAGGAGCCCAGGATCAGCCGGCTCTTCTAGTGCCTGGAGCCCCCGATTCTCAAGCAGAGATGAGGCCTGCAAACGGCATCTCTTAGCACCTAGAAAAGAAGAGCACAGCCAAATCACCCCAAAGCATGAAAACAACACAGGCCATGCAGTCACTGAGTTTCTTGCACAGTAAAAAAGTCACACTACACATTATACCCAAGCATCCAAAAAATACTTTACCTAATTACAGTTTTCAGGCACCCAACACCTTCTTTATTTATAGTCACCTACTGATTCTGAATTGCCCACTAGAGAGGGGGACCACTAAACCAAACTATCAAAAATATCACAATACTAGGGAGAAAAAAAATAGCTAAGGTACTTCTTTGATATGCATATGGTTTATATCTCATAACCCAGCACTACCTAATAGAACTTTCTGCAATGAGGGAGATGTTATATATCTGTCCTATCCAACAGAGTCATGTGGCTACTGAGAACCTGAAATGTGCTTAGTGCAAATGAGTAACTGAATTTTAATTGTATCTAATTTAAATAGAAATTTAAGATACTTGTAGCTTGTGGCTACTATACTGGGCAATGCGGATACAGCCAATTAATCATGATTAGATGGGCATTAAAATAATTCTACATTCCCTACATGTGCCCAATTAAAAGCAGGGGAAGATACTCAAAAGCAGTAAAAAGAGGAGGTTGCCAGGCGCAGTGGCTCATACCTATACTCCCAGCACTTTGGGAAGCTAAGATTTTGGGAGATAGGTGGATCACTTGAGGTCAGGAGTTTGAGACCAGCCTGGCCAACATAGTGAAACCCCGTCTCTACTAAAAAAAAAAATAATAATAATACAAAAATCAGCCAGGAGTGGTGGTGCACGCCTGTAATCCCAGCTACTCAGGAGGCTGAGGCAGGAGAATCACTTGAACCTGGAAGGCGGAGGTTGCAGTGAGCCAAGATCGCATCACTGCACTCTAGCCCGGATGATAGAGTAAGTGAAATTCAGTCTCAAAAGAAAAAAAAAATGAGAGGGCACAGAGGATCCCTCCAAGGAATGGCATACATACAATGAAATATGCCTAGCTATGCCTGAATTTTTATAAAGAAAAAGATAATGCAAACAGGTAAGGGTGGGAAGGGCAGAGTGCATCCCCTGGTACTCCAATTAGGGTGACATCAGATCTTACCACCAATTATCTTCCCACTAGGAATAAAGAATCCAACCAAGCTGCCCTGCAAATGTGAGGACAGGACTGCAATAAGTTTGGAAATACAAGTACAGAACTTGCTGTTTGAGGAACTCTTCATGGGACACTTCATTCAATAAACACTTTGGATGAGCCAGGGGAAAAACAAAATGTAAAGAAATAAAAAAGAGAAAGAATTACACAAATTTTAGAGTTCAGAAATCAGAAGGCCAAAAAGGAAAACAAAGAAACTGCTGCCAGAACGTGAAGTTCCATGAGTGGAATACGGAGAGCTAGGTACACACATCAAATTCTTCCGGGGTGGTCGTTCTTGTTTGCATATTCATGCACATTTGCATTTTCATTCACGTACTATCCACATTCATTTAAAGCAGTGGTTCTCAATCCAGAGTAATTTTGCCCTGCAGGGGACATCTGGCAATGTCTGGAGATGTCTTTGGCCATCACAACTCGGGGAGAGCTATTAACATCTAGTAAATAGAGGCCAGGTGTGCTGCTGAACATCCTTCAATGCACAGGACAGATCCCACACCAAGATTTCAGGAGGGCTGAGATTGAGAAATCTTCATTTAAAGACACTTCCCTCCTCCCAAGGATGGCATCCCAGATGTGCCATGTTAATCCTAAGGACAAGATCAGGTCCTCCAAGGGATACACTCGGAACATGCATATAGCAGAGACAGCAAAGCCCACACAGAAGCACGTCTATGGGACTTACTCCAGCTTGGTCATTATAAAAAGAATTTTCTGGCCAGGTGTGGTAGCTCACGCCTGTAATCCCAGCAGTTTGAGAGGCTGAGGTGGGTGGATCACCTGAGGTCAGGAGTTCAAGACCAGCCTGGCCAGCACGGTGAAACCCCGTCTCTACTAAAAAATACAAAAATTAGCCAGGCGTGGTGGCAGGCGCCTGTAATCCCAGCTACTCGGGAAGCTGAGGCAGGAGGATCACTCGAACCTGGGAGCCGGACGTTGCAGTGAGCCAAGATTGCGCCATTGTACTCCAGCCTGGGCAAAAGAGTGAGACTCTGTCTAAAAAAAAAAAAAATCTTGAAACTTCTTGTCAGAAAAAAACCAAGGCTGGGCACAGTGGCTCATGCCTGTAATCCCAGCACTTTGGGAGGTGGAGGTGGGCAGATCACAAGGTCAGGAGATTGAGACCATCCTGGCTAACACAGTGAAGCCCTGTCTCTACTAAATATACAAAAAATTAGCTGGGCGTGGTGGCGGGCACCTGTAGTCCCAGCTATTTGGGAGGCTGAGGCAGGAGAATGGCGTGAACCCAGGAGGCGGAGTTTGCAGTGAGCCGAGATCGCGCCACTGCACTCCAGCCTGGGCGACAGAGCGAGACTCCGTCTCAAAAAAAAAAAAAAAAAAAAAGAAACCATACCAACACAAGCAGCTTACTGACAAAGGAAAGATAATATTAACATCAGACTTCTTATCATTAACAGTAAAAACTGGAGGAAAAAGTGATGTTTACAGCATCCAGAGAGAAATGAATGCAGAGCCTAAAATGCCACATCCAGACCACCTCAGGGGTCCCACCACCCTGCCACAGCCCCCGCCACTTACAGGTCCTAATTCATTCATCACAACTCTGCTGTTTAATAAGGATATGAAACTCTACCGCAGGGATCACTACAACACTGCAAAGTCTGATAGCCCTTAATATATAAAATCTGTGCAGGCCGGGCGCAGTGGTTCACGCCTGTAATCCCAGCACTTTGGGAGGCCAAGGCAGGCGGATCACGAGGTCAGGAGATCGAGACCATCCTGGCTAACATGGTGAAATCCCATCTCAACTAAAAATACAAAAAAATTAGCCGGGCGTGGTGGCGGGCGCCTGTAGTCCCAGCTACTGGGGAGGCTGAGGCAGGAGAATGGCGTGAACCTGGGAGGTGGAGCTTGCAGTGAGCCGAGATCATACCACTGCACTCCAGCCTGGGCGACAGAGCGAGACTCCATCTCAAAAAAAAATTAAAATTAAAGTTAAAAAAAATATATATCTATATCTATGTAGAAAAAATCTGTGCAAGTGGGTAATTTTTCAGATATGTTGCCATGCCTTGGTTCATGAGTTTTTCATGTCTGCTGGCAACCACAGAGCCTCTTTTGTGGCTTATCCCCTTATGTCCTTCGCCTATTTTCTATAATGTTTACAGAGCTTCATTTTAAGGATATTAATCCTTTACATCTTTGTTGTATTTGATGCAAACATTTTATCCCCGCTTTTTGTTTATGAATTTGGGGGATGACCTTTTGAGCTGCCAGAGTTGTCATCATGTTTGTGTAGCCAAATCCATCAGCCTTCTACATTGTGAGTTAGCCACTGCCACCCATCATCTTCCCAAAATCTGCAAAAAACCCAGAGTGAAAATAAACATACCTAAAAATAAAATCTGCCTGAAGGAGCCACAGTGGACCTCTGCCTTGAGACCACCAGAAGTTTATTTTTTCAGAAAATAAAACGGGCAAATAGGATAGTGAAATACTGGTAGATTTTTACATGGCCACATGCCATATAGTCACATTCCAAGGGACCAATAAGCTCTTTGTCCCACATCTAGCATGTCAGCAGAGCTTTCAAATCACCCTTATCTATATCAACTTTAGGGAAAATGATGGGACTTTTTTTCTTAAAGAGAGGGGGTCTCATTATGTTGCCCAGGCTGGTCTCAAAATCCTGGCCTCAAGCGATCATCCTGCCTCAGCCTCCCACGTAGCTGGGACTACAGGTGCAAGTCACCATGCCTGGCTAAGGAAACTGATGGGACTTTTTAAAGCAGAATAAATTTACTCTCCTAGGTTAAGTTCATCTTGGTGTTCCAGACATGAACATCCACTGCAGCAGCAAACCCCTCCCCACCGTCCCCAGCGCTAGGAACACACAGTTCCATCCCGACAAGAATACCTTCCAGCAAGTAACTGTGCTCCATTTCTCCACCACGCATTTAATTTAACCTCATAAGCTACAGTGGGGGAACCACTAATGCACTTCACCCACCTCTTCCAGAGTAGTGCCTGGAGTATCCTGAAGCCTTAGACCTGAAAGAGCACAGGAGAGGATGAGACTCATACAGCGCAGAGCAGTGATGTTCTGAGAAAGGCGTCAGGGAAGAGGACTGCAGGGCTCAGGAAGAGGGGAGCACCTTTCATCAGGGACAGTACATGGAGGAAGAACGAAGAAGGGGTGAGCAAAGAAATGTGTCCTTGGACACGCCATAAAAAGCCCAAAAGGACAGAGCATTCCACACCCCGGTGCACAAGGATGATGCAGACACTCTCAAGGTCAGAAAGTATGCGACAACCCGAGATCAGAGGGTTTATCCACACAGGATGAGCGTGGTGTGTATAAATGCCAAGGTCCAGCGGCAAAATGCAACAGATAAAAGGGGAGAGGTGAGGGAAGAGTGGAGTTTAACTTCTGTATTAAAACAAGAAGCAAAATCTCCCCGGGAATTTGACACTGGGGAAAGTGTGTGTGCCAACCCGTGGTCCCTCATTGCCCCTTTTCCTACCCTTTGCAAAAGAGAGAAAGAGAATGAGCAAATCCACTCGCTGTCTTGGCCTTAATACATGACAGTGGGGAAGGAGGAGCAGAGGGATAGAAGATCATGATGGCGACAATGGCAGTAATAACTGCAATTTTCCAGTTGCTAAGTGTCGGTGTGTGCCAGGCACTTCTCTGACCTCTTATTAAATAAATGACAGTTATTTCTGGCCAGTAAGCATAATATTACTTGGTTTGCACACAAACTCTACAAAAGTAGAAACTGAGCTTCAGAGAAGTCAAATAACTTGCCAAAGTATACACAGCTATAGGCAGTAGAACAGGATTCAAACTTGAATCAGTAATCTGAACCTGCCATTACACTGTTTATACAAGACATAAAACTGCCCTTTAAATGCTCAGCTTACAGCTGTTTTCCCTGGACAAACACAGCCCAGGCCAGCTGGCCTATACACACTGCCTCTGTGAGACTTGCTGGTGATTTTGCCCTCCTTGTGATTTTTGAGGGGGCACTGAGGGGCAGGAATCACCTTCAAGCTCCTTTTCCAGGGCTGATACCCACCCTCCTTGGACTAGGAACTCTCTAACATATGCACTTCTATTCACCTGCATGGCTGCTCCCTAGCACACATCACCATGGTCTCTCATCAACATCACAACAGCCACTTAACTCGTGTTCTCATTCCATCTTTTTTTTTTTTTTTTTTGAGATAGGATCTCACTCTGTTGCCCAAGCTGGAGTGCAGTGGCGCGATCACAGTTCACTGCAGCCTTGACTTCCCAGGCTCAGGTGATCCTCCCACCTCAGCCTCCTGAGTAGCTAGGACTACAGGCATGTGCCACACCTGGCTAGTTTTTGTAGAGATGAGGTTTCACAATGTTGCCCAGGGTGGTCTTGAGCTCCTGAGCTCAAGCAATCTCCTGCCTCAGCCTCCCAAAGTGCAGGGATTACAGGCATGAGCCACTGCACCTGTAATCCAGACTCATTCCATCTTTTTTTTTTTTTTTTTTTTTGAGACAGAGTTTCACTCTTGTTCCCCAGGCTGGAGTGCAATGGTGCGATCTCGGCTCACCACAACCTCCACCTCCCAGGTTCAAGCAATTCTCCTGCCTCAGCGTCTCGAGTAGCTGGGATTACAGGCATGCGCCACCATGCCCAGCTAATTTCGTATTTTTAGTAGATGTTGGCCAGTCAGGCTGGTCTCGAACTCCCGACCTCAGGTGATCCGCCCACCTTGGCCTCCCAATGCTGGGATTACAGGCGTGAGCCACCATGCCGGGCCCCTCATTCCATCTTGATGGCTCTAAACACTTGTCCAAATGGTAAGTAGCATGATGCTTCAACAGAAAATTACCATGCTCTTTGATGGCTTCCTAATTTAGAGTGACACCCAAATTCCTTCACAAGAGGTGACTATGGGGCCTATCCAGGCCCCCTTTCCCAGTCCCTCATGGCCCCTACTGTGGTTACTCACAGGCCTCTCCTATCTCTCAGGACCCTGCTCATGCCATCCCTCCAAAATAAGCCCCCTTCATCTCACCCCTTCTCACTGGGGTGACTCCCATCAATACTTCCTCTGATCACCACCTCATCATGATGTCAGAGGACCATGTGGAGGGCTGAGTGTGATGGCTCACATCTGTAATCCCAACACTTTGGGAGACCCAGGCAGAAGGACTGCTTGAGGCCAGGACTTTGAGAACAACCTGGGCAAGATAGCAAGACCCCATCTGTACAAAAAAAAATTAAGGTAAAATTTTAAAAGATGATTGTAACAAAGCAAGATCATGTCTATCTGTCTGCCTAGCCAGAGAGCTGTGGGAAACAGAAAGAAACAGTATCACAGCCTCACCATCTTACCTCCACCCCTGGTGCTGAACTTGGCACATATATTAAAGGTTCTCCAACGTTTGTGGACTGATAAATGATTTTTTTAAGGCATGTGGTATAATGTAAGAGTGGTTTTGTTTAATAATCTTACTACATCAAACCTATCTGTGACACAACAGATGTCAGGAACAAGTCGGGGGTGTCAACGTCACCACCATCAATGTACACCGACCAAGAAAGATGAGGGAAGTATTAGAAAAGTCCAAATTATAACTACATCAAAAGATATGAAAAATCTCAGAGAACCTACAATTACATAGCGAGTTACAAAACACATGAGCAAGCCTCTTTCGATGTGATTGAATCAAACATTTCCCAAATGCCAGCGACAAGCATCTGTATCAGCAGCTAGCTAGCCACCATCTGGCCTGTTTCTGTTAAGGTCCCTGCTAAAAATGGTTTTTACATGTTTAAAGGATTGTGAACAACAGCAAAGAAGAACATGTGACTGAGATCACCTGGCCCCTAAAGCCAAAGACATTTATAGAAAGGTTTGCCCATGCCTGACAATAATAGGATAAAGGAATCCTGCTCACCATGGCAAGAATAACGTTAAATACTTAAGGATAAATTAAATAAAAATATGTGTGACCTTTATGAAGAAAACGATAAAATATTACTGAGGGACATAAAAAGGATTTGAAAAACCAAAGAAACAGAGGATACTCTTCGATAGGAAAGGTACTGTAAGAATATTCATTTTCCAATTAACATAATCTACACAGATTTAATAAAAATCCATTAATACCCCCCCAACAGGTCAGAGGAGCTTGCTAAAAAATCCTCTAGAAGAATAAGCAAGGGCCAGGCATGGTGGCTCATGCCTCTAATCCCAACAGTTTTGGGAGGTGGAAGCAGGTGGATCACCTGAGCTCTGGAGTTTGAGACCAGCCTGGGTAACATGGCAAAACCCTATCTCTACCAAAAATACAAAAAATTAGCTGGGTGTGGTGGCATGCACCTGTGGTCTCAGCAACTCGGGAGGCTGAGATGGATCACTTGAGCCTGGGAGGTAGAGTTTGCAGTGAGCCAAGATCATGCCGCTTCACTACAGCCTGGGTGGCAGAGTGAGACCCCATCTCAAAATAACAACAATAATAATAAGCAAGGATAGCCACAAATATTTGAGAAATAGGAGGAGTGTGGTCAGTGAGATAAGAACCCTAATGTAAAGTTGTAATAAACAGAAGTTCAACAAGTATGAAAACAAAGTAACTATTAGTCATTAAAAAAAAAACCCAAAAACTGATGTACATATGATATGGCAGCACTTCAAATCATAAAACCAACTATACATGCCAAGACAATTGGTTACCACCAAGTAACAAAATCCAGAAAAAGTAAGACCTAACGTCTACATTTTAACATTGTTAAGAAAGCACAGAAATATTTATTGACATGGAAAGATGTTTACCCTGTTATATATGTGTTATTTTTTAACTTGCCTTTTTACATAACACAGGGTGAACATCTTTCCATAAAGTGAAACAAGCCAGTCACAGAAGGACAAATACTGCATGATTCCACTTACGTGAGGCGTCTAAAATAGTCAAATGCAGAAGCAGAGTAGGATGGTGGATTCCAGGGACTTGGGGGGGCGGTCAATGGAGAACTGACTTCAACAGGTTAAAGGTTTTAGGTTGCCAGGTACGGTGGCTCACGCCTGTAATCCCAGCACTTCGGGAGGCCAAGGCAGGAGGACTGCCTGAGGTCGGGAGTTCAAGACCAGCCTGGCCAACATGGTGAAAACCCGTCTCTACCAAAAATACAAAAGTTAGCTCAGCGTGGTGGTGCACGCCTATAAGCCCAACTACTTAGGAGGCTGAGGCACAAGAATCACTTGAACCCAGGAGGCGGAGGTTGCAGTAAGCCGAGATTGCACCACTACACTCCAGCCTGGGCGACAGAGCAAGACTCTGTCTCAAAAAAAAAAAAAGTTTCAGTTACACAACATGAGCAAATTCTAGAGATCTGCTGGACCACACTGTGCCTATAATTAACAATACGTCGGTCAGGCATGGTGGCTCATGCACGCCTATAATCTTAGTACTCTGGGAGGCTAAGAGTGGGACGATTGCTTGAGGCCAAGAGTTCAAGATCAGCCTGGGCAACATAGTAAGATTCCATCTCTACAAAAAATGAAATTTTTTTAAATTAGCCAGAAAACAAAACAATACCATATTGTACACTCAAAAAGTTGTCGGCTGGGCCTGTAATCCTAGCACTTTGGGAGGCCAAGGTGGGCAGATTACCTGAGGTCAGGAGTTCGAAACCAGCCTGGCCAACATGGTGAAACCCATCTCTACTAAAAATATAAAAAATAGCCAGGCGTGGTGGAGCATGCCTGTAATCCCAGCCACTTGGTAGGCTGAGATAGGAGACACACTTGAACCCAGGAGGCAGAGGTTGCAGTAAGCCAAGATCCCACCACGGCACTCCAGTCTGGGTGACAGGGTGAGACTCTGTCTCGAGGAAAAAAAAAAAAAAGTTGTTAATAAGGTAGATCTCGTGTTAAATGTTCTTATCATAATAAAAATAAAAAAATAAAAAGAATGGTAGAAGATACTAGTTTTGAGTGAAAAAAGTTATTTCATAAGTGAAAAGAATTAAAAGCAATATATATAATGAAAAAGATAGTATGTACAGCATTAACCCACTGTGTATGTGTAAAGTATGTGGCCATGTATACACACACCAAAATGTTAACCAAAATGTTGAGTGATAGAAACACAAATGACTTATTTTCCTGTTTTTACTCCTCTATATTTTCTAAACTAACTTAACTACAAAAGATGGGCCCAATTTCACCCCTAAGAGCCTCATGGTGTCCACATTAGCACCAGTTCTTCCTTACTCCTCAGACTCAAGTCCAGGGGAAAGGCTGGTTCCCCTTACAGCATCTACCCCCTTTACAATGTAATGCAAGCAAATCAATTCAGTCCTTTCTGCTGTGAGCTCAGGATACAGCAGTGCGGAATAATGTCCTCATGTTTAAAGTTCTAAAATAACTTTGGGTTTCAGAAGAGAGTGGAGAAAAGCCAAGGTGCTACAAATTATACTTGGTATCTAGATTTCTTAAAGCTCCCTGCAGCCAAAGTTAAAAATCACTACCTTAAAGGAAGCAGGAAATCGCTACAGTCTCAAAAAAAAAAAAAAAAAAAAAGTCGCCTGGAAATAAATGTAAACCTGACAGATAAAAAAAATCAGCCATCTGGAAAATTCTGTTATGAGGAAGTAGAAAAGTAAAATAAAATATTTAGACGTGTAACAAATCTTCCAATTCCCTAAGGACTGAATCACTAGCTCTCCACCCACCAACAATCACGCACAAATGCAGAAGCTTTTAATCAGTACTTGTTTCATCAGCTATTCAGCCTGTAATGATTTCTTTTGAACTTCATTTTATCCGACCATCTCTCCCTGTCCAGGAAACAGAGTCACCCCTCTCACTGTGGCTTAGCAGGGCCACCTGAAGGAGAAATGTGATGGCACTGTCCAGAAGTTTTCAGAGCTGAGCTATTCGTGGAGTTAAATACCAAAACCTTCTGTGTTTCTCGAAAGAACCACCAAATCCTAAGAAAAACCTGTCCTTTCATGATCAGCACCTAGCAGAGTGAGCAGGTAACACAGAAACCCTCCAATGGCTGAATGAATTAATCACTAATAGTCTGCCCAAAGAGTAGAATCCCCCTATGTAAAATTCATCTTTAAGGCTGGGCACAGTGACTCCCAACGCTTTGGGAGGCCTAGTTGGGAAGATTGCTTGAGGCCAAGAGTTCGAGATCAGCCTGAGCAACATAGCGAGACTCTGACTCTACAAAAAATAAAACATAAAATTCATCTTTATATTCCCAGCTCCTAGTACAGAATAGACAGATGCTCTTTACAAGGAAGTACACAGGGCGGGGGGTGGGGCGGTGTGGAGAAGATAGATGTTCCATAAATGCTAATGAAATTTACATTTACTCCAAGTAGACGGCACTGAATAAATACTATATCAGAAATATAAATCCATGGCAAATCCATCATTTGCTCTAGACAAAAACCCACACTTCTCCAAAAGGATACGAGAGAGAGGAAGAGCCAGAATAAGAATCAGTGGCTCATGTGCTTAAGACTCACATGGGAAGCTTATTTAAAATATACACTTCTGGGCCAGGCACGGTGGATCACACCTGCAATCCCAGCACTTTGGGAGGCTGAGGCAGGCGGATCGCTTGAGCCCAGGAGTTCAAGACCAGCCTGGGCAACGTGACGAAACCCCATTTCTACCAAAAAAAAAAAACAGAAAAATTAGCCAGGCATGGTGGTATCCGCCTGTAGTCCCAGTTATTTAGGAGACTGAGGTGGGAGGATGGCTTGAGTCCAGAAGGTAAAGGTTGCAGTGAGCTGAGACTGCACGACTACACTCCAGCCCAGGCAACAGAGTCAGACTCTGTCTCAAAAAAAAAAAAAAAAAGACAGATTTCTTTCACACAAATACATGTAAGACAAAAATTTGACACTGTTTTATTTATAACAGCCCCAAACTAGAAACATCCAAAGAGCCATCAAGAGGTGGACGGGTAAGCAAATCATGGTGGGTCCATCAAAAGGCATGCTAGTTAGCAACAAACCAGAGAGCGTCTGCTGACGTGCCCGACAGCACAAGGGAGCTGCACAGACATTTCGTTAAAGCAGCCAGACACGAGACATGCAGTCTGATTCTCAAAAGACAAACCATTCTACGGGAAGCGGAGAGTGGTTACCTAGGGCAAGAATGGAGGAAAGGGCTCCCCAGGGAAAGGATGGAACCTTTGGAATGATAGAAATCTACTGTTTTGACTGTGATTCTGGTGGCTCCATTTGGATGTATATCCACTTGCTCTATGTAAACACTATCGCAATAAAATTGACTTTAGAAGACTAAAAGAATTAAAAAACCCTGTAATCCCACCAATTTTAAAAATGTCCCCTCCTCATATTCTAATCCTATAGACCTACCTTGGGGGCTTGGGAACCTGTATTTTTGTTTGTTTGTTTGTTGAGATGGAGTCTTGCTCCGTCGCCCAGGCTGGAGTGCAGTGGTGCAGTCTCAGCTCACTGCAACCTCCACCTCCCGGGTTCAAACAACTCTCTGCCTCAGCCTCCCAAGCAGCTGGGATTACAGGTGTGCCCCACCACACCCGGCTAATTTTTGTATTTTTAGTAGAGACAGGGTTTCACCATCTTGGCCAGGCTGGTCTTGAACTCCTGACCTCGTGATCCACCTGCCTTGGCCTCCCAAAGTGCTGGGATTACAGGCATGAGCCACCGCACCCGGCCAGGAACCTGTATTTTTAACAAATGCACAAATATTCTCATGCTAGAGGTCCTCAGATCACCCACACCTTGGGATAGGCAATCTTGGCTGGGAAAAAGCTATTGTCTGCACTTCTTTAAACCAATCCAGACAGGGGAAGAATATGACTAAGAAGGAGTGCCCTCTGGGATAAGGACACTCAAAACCTCAGCCTGCCAAGTGCTACTTTGGTTCTCACTAAGACACAAGAGCTTTCAGGGCCGGCTAGGTTCAATGATGAAGCACATTTCAAAAGCCAATCCATGGCTCTTTGCTTAAATCCCATTAAGGGGATTATAATCAAACTGTGGCTGCTCCATTAAGTTCTGTTAAATGCTAACATTTGACCTAAATGCTTTTAATTCAAGTCAGAAAAGACTGTTGGAACATATGCCCTCAACTTGTAGGTGTGGTGAGGGCTAGTTTTGAATGAAACGCTCTGAATTCTCAAAAAAAAAAAAAAAAAATCTTCAACTTGTATATGATCAACTTCCTTTGAATGAAATGACTTAACTGGTTACCTAATACACAGAGTCCGACTTCAGGGAGTTTGCAATTCTGATGCTGATCCTAGCTATAATTATTCCATTTAAAGCTCCAAGCAGCAACGAATGAACTTGTAAGCAGTGGTGATTATTTGATCTTGTGATGACAAGTATGCTCACAGCATGTGACTGAATTTAAAAAAAAAATAACAATCATCCTGCAGTCTTCTCCAAAACACTGCAGGAACTCTTGATCTTGTTTGTTTGTTTGTTTGTTTGTTTGTCTTTTTTGAGACACAGTCTGGCTCTGGCACCCAGGTTGGAGTACAGTCAAGCAATCGCAGCTCACTGCAACCTCCCACCTCAGCCTCCTGAGTAGCTGTGACCACAGGCATGCGCCACTATGCCCAGCAAATGTTTGTATTTTTTGTAGAGACAGGGTCTACTTGTTGCCCAGGCTGGTCTCGAACTCCTGAGCTCAAGCAATCCTCCCGCCTCAGCCTCTCAAAGTGCTGGGATCACAGGCATGAGCCACCATGCCTAGCCAGCGCTCATTTTTCAAACCGCAAGTCAGTACCTACTAGTAGGTCATGAAATTAAATTAGTGGATCTTGACCAGAATTTTTAAAACAATGGCATTTGACAGAACAAAAAACTTCAGAGCATATCTCAAAAGACAGGGGTAACCGAGAGTGTCAAGGTAAAATGCTTCATGCTGTGGGTCAGGGGAAAAGAGTCTGCAAGTCACTGATGGAAAAACTCTGCACACTGACATGAAAGGCATGTTCCAAGTGCCCGACTTAAATCAGATTATTTACTGACCTTAAACTAACATGCCCATAGAAATATTGTGCCAAAGTGAGAAAGCGGTATAAGATGATGGCACTGATGACAAAATATCATCATATTCCCCTGCCACAATGATGGAGGGGGTACCCAGAATTGCAGCACCAGGGTGGCCTTATAATTAATTACAATAATCTACCAGAGCCCTAAACCAAACTACCCCCAATGACTGCAATGGAAGGAATCTCCTTTGCACCCTAATGTGCCATCTCAGCCTTCTGTCACTGTCTCAGTTTGTGGACTTAATTCTTTTAAGAGTTGGAAATGTTTTAAAGGAAGCCAGATAAAACCTGGATTTCTGAGAGGGAACATAGGTACCACTGCCAAGTTCCATCTCAGAAACCAGTTTCCATCTGTAGCGAGCCCCAGGAGTAATGATCCCTTAGAGGCCACTCCCAGGGCCCCAAGAGGGGTCCTGACAGTAGCAACCCTGCTCTGACTGTAGAAAAAAAGGGTCCCTGGGCAAACACTGTACTAGTTAGAAATAATCTAAAAATGGGTTCTCAGGTCCTCACCAGTGGGCCAGAGAGGATGCGATGCCACTGGATAAACGTGGGAAATTTTCCTGAAACATCCATGGGGTGAGTTGGGTGGGGAGGATCATTCCTAACTGACAGCAAATAGTTTATGGCACATAAAGTAAAATGCACAACTGACAGAATGAAACAAGATGTTGAAGAATGGGCTCTGCCTACAGAAGATCCCTTCAGTCCAGCCCAAAGACTTAGTCCCAGAAGCTCTGGTACAGACAAGCTCTAGTCCCAAATGCAACACTAAATCCTAAAAAAGCTCCTGAGTCCAGCCTGAGACACGTCATTTTGCTGCCATCGAATTATGCATGAGCCATGAAAGGTGATGGTCATGGTATCTAGGTGACAAGACGATAACTCATTTGCCTGCTTGTTCAGAAGAGCGATGGAGTCTGAGAAAGTAAAATGTCAGAGTGGTGTATGCTTTGTTTGTTTGGGGGTTTAAGATACAAAGTCATCCGCAGTCTTTCTTTTTCTAACCTAATGCTATAGCAAACAGATGCTACAGCGCCTACTGTACCTGGTATCTTTCAGCAGAAGTTTTCTTTCCAAAACTTTATTTAAATAAAATTATAACAAGACCATCTTAAGCCTCGTCATCCTGGCCATTTCTCCTCAGTGCCAGGTGCTGCCCACACTGCCCACGCTGACCTCCAGAGTTCCCAGGTCTGGGCTCAAGAGACCTCCTCCTCCAGGGAGCACTCCTGGGTCAGCTGTCCGTCTTCTGTGTTTCCATGGTTCCCAGCTTCCTGTCCGCTCCCCACCAGAATGAGATGGCAGCAGGGACACAGTGTCCAATGCATAAAAGGCATTCAAATACTTGGGGAAATCCCTGACTCGTTCAGGGAAATCTTGTGGCTGGGACGTGAAAGGGGAAAGGGAGGGGCAGTATAGCAAAAAGTGCAGCCTGCATGACAAAATTAAAATCTGAATGTACATTTTAGCAAACTAAAGCAGAACAAAGATGAGTTTTATTGCATTTATTTCTACTACGTGATTTAACACATCACTTTTTGCACACATGGTGCTTTTTATTTCAACACTATTTAAAATGTATTAATCATCAGTCATCACAGGAGCCACTGAAAAGCTAATTTTATATGGAATTTTAACAACAAGATAAAAACATGTGCATAATGAACTATCAAGTCCCAGGCACAAACATGGTTTCACTTAGCCCTTATAAAAATTCTGGGAGGGGTTGTTATTCTCTCCATTTCACAGATGAGAAACTGGAGCACAGAGAGGTTGATTTATCTCTGCAAAAAAGCTCAGGGCCAATGTTGTGGGTCCAACAATCATTCTGGAAGACAAACGTTGTTCGTGTTACCTTCCAAGCTAAGAGAACGAGACTCTGAAGAAAAGGCCAAAAGACCAGAATAGGCCTGAGAAGGTCATATCTAAAAGTCATTCTGAAGGAAGCTGAGGAAAATTTGTGAGTTACTTTCAGGGAATAGAAAGAATGCTTTCTTCTCTTCCAGGTCTCCAGATGCCTTTTGTCATTTGATGCTCCCCCTGGCTCACCCAATACAAAAATCTTGGGAGCCTGGATAACTTCCAGGAGATGGCTGTGCCCTGCTGATTCAGTCCCACTGTGTCTGGGATGCCTGCTCCATCCTCTTTCCAGCACAGTCCCTGAAGAGGAAGCCTCAGTAGGGCACTTGGTCACCTCCAGCTACTGTTGCCAGAGCTGCCCCTGCTGGGAGAAGGCAGGCTCAGGTGCTGGGAGAAGCATCTCAAGTAACTCAACGGACTCACCAGCCCTCTCTGTGATCTGCTCTTCAGACCATGTCATTCTCCAAGGACCAAAGCCAAATTTCCTTCTTTCACCTGCAGAGAAAGATCCAGCTCCACTTTGCCTCTATTTCCTAACTACCCAATTACGCCTGCTTGGTTTTGCTGGACTTTGGCCCATTTATTCAGTCCTCTCAACACCAACCACTTTCCCGGTCTCATCTGGAAGACATTCCATTTGCAAATCTCTTGTGCAGTACTGTTTCTCCCCACCACACCATACCCCCTGCTCCCCACTAGTCCAGTATACCAAGAGTTCCTCTTCCCTGCAGACTCTCCCAAGATAAGGAAAAGGGAGCTCTGAGGGATTCACCTGCTCTAATAGATTACCTAAGGGCTGAAGAGTGGGTTTGCCTAAACTGCACTGCAATTATCTGGGGCTGGGACACTAATTCTTCCCCAGGTTAACACCACATACGTGGTGATCAAAATTATTGCAAAGCTTTTCCCTGATCTTCAATAAATGGGAGGCTTTAAATATTCCATGCCTGTATGTTATACACTCTTTTTCCTGCACAGGAGTGTGTTCTTCCTAAGCAATTCATTAAAAATTATATTCATTAAATACAGAGACTGCAATCACTTAGAATTGTATGCTACAGATGTCTTGCTTTTTTCTGGTATCTGAACCTGACATTTTTTAATAACCCAAAGACCTTAAAAGAATTAAAAATATATCTGCACTCAGCTATAAGACACTCTAGCTCTCCATGAAGTTTGTTTCACTTATATTCCTTTTTGGTTGTTTACTTACTTTTCATCAGACTTCTGAAACTCTGCATAGAAGGAAAACATAGGCTGGGCACGGTGGCTCACACATGTAACCCCTGCACTTTGGGAGGCCAAGACGGATGGATTACCTGAGGTCAGGAGTTTGAGACCAGCCTGCTCAACATGGTGAAACCCCATCTCTACTAAAAATAGAAAAAAAGTAGCCAGGCGTGGTGGCAGGCACCTGTAATCCCAGCTATTTGGGAGTCTGAGGCGGGAGAGTTGCTTGAACCTGGGAGGCGGAGATTGCAGTGAGCCGAGATCGCACCATTGCACTCCAGCCTGGGTGACAGAGCGAGACTCCATCTCAAAAAAAAAAAAAAAAAAGGAAAACATAAAAGAACACACAGCAGAGCTTTGGCAATCCTGGCACTAGATTGGACTCTGAAAATAAGTAATTTACTTACATCGTTTTTACTTTATTTACTCTGGAAAGTAAATAAGCACCTGAAAAACACAGAAATTTTACTCGCTGCAGATGAAGTTTTTATTGCTATTCTCTCTCACATACCTAAGGGCGGTGCCTTCTAAGAAGTGCATAAATGTTAATGTTCAGTTTTTGATATTTAAATTATGTCTGACAGCACTAAGAAACCCTTTGGAGATTTTCTAGTAATGCAGCTGTGCAAAACTGAGAACTTCTCACCCACCTACACAGGCACAGTCACACACACACAGGCGCGCACACACACAGAAACAGACATATATGTAGAAAATCAGAAACATCACCAGAGATACAAACACTCAGATACTCACATGGAAACAGATACACGCAGACCCAAATGCACACAGACACAAACAGATAGTAATCAATCTGTATATCCTCACAACTCATTCCCCAAAGCAGAACCGCCAAATGGCCTTACCTTCAAAGTGAAACTCCACCCTTCCACAGAAATGTCCTCTAATCAGTGCGTCACCCACCACTTCTGTGCCGGTGTCTGTGCAACCCTGCGATTGTCCTGGTACTCAGCATGAGACGCTCTCAGGTGCTGAAGGAATTTCAGCTTTTATAACCCACACAGGCTGGCCAAAATTGTATAACCGCACCACCTCATTAGAAATGCTATTTGTGTTACACAACAGCCACCACCCGGTTACAAACAGTTACTGCATGCCTCTATTATGGTTTCCTTAACATCAATCTGTAGCAGGTTTCTCCATGGCAGGCTGGATAGTCTATTGTAGAAACCAAGCAGCTGCTGAGAATACGTCTCAAACCTGCACTAAGAAGGAAAATTAAAACCTATCTTTGTAAACCCTTCAGTTCAGATGAATAAGTCCACCCATGCTGCTTCCAGCTCAGTGAAAAGGGAGATTAATTTTACTACCTGGTAAGTTTCCATTTCCCCAATCAGGGCCCAAAGACAATTGTTTTCAAAGCTCAAAAAATTTCAGATCTCAAGGTAGGAGTTCATCATTAAAAGGTAGGCAAAGCCAACAAGTAACTGTCACATTGGAGAGCTGACTGCTGGGGTCCAGTTCAACGTGGCATCCAGCAGGCAGGTCTCCACTGATTCCTACTGAACAGTGGAAGTACCCATGAAGACACAAAAGTGATGCATGCACACTGACAGTCTGACATCAGGACTAGGAAAGAAGTCACACCTGTGGCCAGACTTTGCCCTTCCCAGTCCTGACTCCAAGCCAGGGCCTACCAGGAACCTGGGCAGTGGGCACCCTCTGCCCTGTGGAATATGCAAATACCTGCCTCCATCTCCCTAACACCAGACTGCCCTTCCCAAATCCAGAAAGGGAACTCGAGGCTCAGATGACAAACAGCCAGGCAGAAGAGGCATCGACCATCAGCAAGGGACATCTTAGAAGATGGGAGTCCCTGAGATAAAGACAGAAAAAGAACCAGGACAATTCCTGGAGAAAAGCAGCTGTAAGTATTCCTCATTCACAGAAACTTTGAGGAGCTCAGCAGTGGGATAAGAGGATGACACCACCTGACCAGAAGTGACACCTTAGCAGAAACTGGGGAGAAGGTTGGGAGCCAGGTGCTTCAACTGCTCAGGGCAGGAGACCCACCACCACAAGCGCCCAGAACACAGGTCCGCACATGACACATCCAACCCATCAGGTCAACACGCCTAGGGGAGCCAAGAACGGTATTCAGGACATGCTGTGAAGACTCTAACATCAGAGAAGATTTGTTGCAGGAGCCAAAAGAAAATTTAAAACAAAAACAAAAACCCACAGTTGGAATAAAGGAAGAAAAACATTTTTTAAGTTGGTATTTTTTTAAAAGAGGAAACAAGATTGACAATTATATGGAGAAAATGGATCAAAAACAAGACGCTGAGGTGGGGAAGAACAGTAGGGAAATGAAGAACCAGCACTAACTCAGAAGTAAGCCAGAGAAATGGCATCACAAAAGACTGAAACGGAGGTGGGTGACAGACCTGAGAAACTCTGAGAGACAAGGAAAACTACAGAAAGGCTAAGGCTATTCCGAGACAGAGCTGGGCAGGAAAAAGCAAAGAACAAGGCCAAGCTGTGACTCATCAGTGCCTCTCAAGCAGACTTAGAAACAAAAGGGGCAATGAAGCCAGCTATGCTGTATGATTCCATTTACACAAAACATCCAGAGTAGGCAAATCCAGAGGCAGAAAGTTCATCGATGATTGCCTGGGGCTGGGGTGGGGATGGGAGTGACTATTCATGGGTTTTAGGATTCTCTGCAGGATGAAAAAAAGTGCTAAAATTGTATTGTGGTGATGGCTGTACAGCTTTGTGAATAACAGTATACTAAAAACCACTAAATTGTATATTTTAAGATGATGACTATCATGATGTGTAATACACCTCAATAAAACTTTTTCAAAAAGAACAAATGAGGTCGGGTGTGGTGGCTCACACCTGTAATCCTAGCACTTTGGGAGGCTGAGGCAGACGATCACCTAAGGTCAGGAGTTTGAGACCAGCCTGGCCAACACAGTGAAATCCCATCTCTACTAAACATACAAAAATTAGCTGGGTGTGATGGCACGTGCCTGTAATCCCAGCTACTTGTGAGGCTGAGGGCAGGAGAATCGCTTGAACCTGGGAGGCAGAGGTTGCAGTGAGCGAAGATTGCACCACCACACTCCAGCCTGGGCGACAGAGCAAGACTCTGACTCAAAAAAAAAAAAAAAAAAAAAAAAAGAACAAATGGAGCAGACTTCAATAACCTAATATAAAAGATGTAGACTAAAAAACTATTCTGAGATTAAGAAAAATCTGAGTAAAGGGACTAAAAGGGCATTCTAGGTTCATGCAAAATCATATACTTGGACACATCCTAGCAAAATAATTTAACCACAGGATGAAAGAATCGTAGACACATCCAGGGAGGAGAAAATGTTTGGTTTGCTTAAGTGTTAGCTTGAATTAAGCTTAGCACCTGGGTTGTCCACAGCAGTATTAAATGTCAGAAGACAATAACACAAACACAAACTGAGGGAAAGGTCTTAACAAGGAATTTTATACCCAGATAAGGTGCCCTTCATGTGTGAAAGCCAAACAAGATAGTTTTAGATGTGCATGAGCTCAAAAGAAAAGGAGGGAAAGAAAGCCTGAAGCTATATTCCAACCAGGTTGGAATATAGAAGTGGAATTCACAGAGGCCACTAACTAGTATACAAGACTGCTAAGCATGGATGCTAAAACCATCAAGATAGGGACAAAGCTAAATAATGAGTGTAAACCTGGTTATAAAACGCAATGCATAAGCCACATTGCTCTCTAAACATATGCTATATAAGAAATGTAATTAAATAGGCCAGGCGCAGTGGCTCACACCTGTAATCGCAGCACTTTGGGAGGCCAAGGCAGGTGGATCACGAGGTCAGGAGTTCAAGACCAGCCTGATCAACATGGTGAAACTCCATCTCTACTAAAAATACAAAAATTAGCCAGGCGTGGTGGCATGTACCTGTAATCCCAGCTACTCAGGAGGCTGAGGCAGGAGAATTGCTTGAACCCGGGAGGCGAAGGTTGCAGGGAGCCGAAATTGTGCCACTGCACTCCAACCTGGGTGATAGAACGAGACTCAAAAAAAAAGGCCTGGCGCGGTGACTCATGCCTGTAATCCCAGCACTTTGGGAGGCCGAGGCAGGCGGATCACAAGGTCAAGAAATCCAGACCACCCTGTCCAACATGGTGAAACCCCGTCTCTACTAAAAACACAAAAATTAGCTAGGCGTGGTGATGCGTGCCTGTATTCCCAGCTACTTAGGAGGCTGAGGCAGTACAATCACTTGAACCCGGGAGATGGAGACTGCAGTCAGCCAAGATAGCGCCACTGCACTCCAGCCTGGCAACACAGCAAGACTCCATCACAAAAATAATAATAATAAAATTAAATTAAATAAAAAAAGAAATGTAATTAAATAAAGCAGACAGAAAAGATTACATTAATAAAGACTGAAAACAGAGAGTAAGAAGATGCTAAAGCCCTTCTCCCAAACAGAAAGAATCATAGGCCTTAACTATGACAATTAGAGAAACGAGGTTTTTTTTTATGTTTTTCACTTAAAACCACTATTAGAATTTGAAACAGAATACAGACTAAAACACAGCTAGACCTGTGAGTTAAACCCATTTAATTAAAAATACTCAGATTGCATCAAAAAATAAATGCCAGCCGGATGCAGTGGCTCACGTCTGTAATCTTAGCACTTTGGGAGGCTGAGGTGGGCAGATTACTTGGGGTCAGGAGTTCAAGACCAGCTTAGCCAACATGATGAAACCCCATCTCTACTAAAAATACAAAAATTAGCTGAGTGTGGTGGCGCACACCTGTAGTTTTAGCTACTCGGGAGGCTGAGACAGGAGAATCACTTAAACGCAGGAGGCGGAGGTTGCAGTCAGCTGAGATTATGCCACTGCACACCAGCCTCAGCGACAGACAGAGACTGTCTCAAAAATAGATAAATAAAAATAAAATAAATGCCAACCCCCAAGATAGACCTTAAAGTGAAAAAAAGTAACACTAATGCTGCCTTATTATTTTTTAAATGTCAGACACAGTGGAATTCATGCCAAAAAGTATTAAGCAGGAGAAAGGATGTCATTTTACATTGCTAAAGGATAAAATTCACAAGAAGAATATGATGTCAGTCTTTACATTCTGAACATTCTTTCACTGAAATAAAGCCCATAATGGCTAGAAATAGAGAAGAAATGACCAACACTTCATAAACATATCTCTCTCCAAGAAGATAGGGGTAGGGAGGATATACAAGCATAGGCCCCATGTCCATATTAATTTTATTTTGTATTGATCACAGAATCTGACCAATAAAATGAATAAGGCTAATATAATAGATATCAAACTTTGCACCCCATAGAAAATAGCTTCATTTTCAATGGCTAAAGAGCATTTATGAAAAGTCACCATCTATCATGCCACAAGGAAAATTTCAAACCCCATGAAAAAAGGAACATTTCAGCTGGGTGCAGTGGCTCATGCCTGTAATCCCAGCACTTTAGGAGGCCAAGGCAGGTGGATCACCTGAGGTAAGGAGTTTGAGACCAGCCTGGCCAACATGGTGAAATCCCGTCTCTACTAAAAATACAAACAATTAGCCACGCGTGGTGGCGGGCGCCTGTAGTCCCAGCTACTCGGTAAGCTGAGGCAGGAGAATTGCTTGAACCTAGGAGGTGGAGGTTGCAGTTGAGCCGAGATTGTGCCATTGCACTCCAGCCTGGGTGACAGAGCAAGACTCCATCACAAAAAAAAAAAAAAAAAAGAAAGAAAGAAAGAAAGAAACCAAAAAGGCATAAAACTCAGTGTCAATTTTTGAATAAAACTCTTAGCACATTACACATGTTAAGAAAAAAGTCCTCGAAAAGAACCCTGATCTCATACCAAAGGCAATGAGATACATAACCTGAATGACACCCAGAGGGGTGCCCTTTAAAGACAGAAACAGGAGTCTGGTGGGTGCCATTATAGAAGACTGTTCCGGAAGTTCTAGCCAGGACAATAAGAAAAAGATTTTGTTTGAGCACGGTGGCTCAGGTCTGTAATTTCATTGTTTTGGGAGGCCAGAAGGATCACTTCAGGCCAGTTCAAGACCAGCCAGGGCAACGTAACAAGACCTACTCTCTATTTAAAAAAAAAATTATTTTTTTAATTAGCTGGACATGGTGGTGCATGCCTGTGGTCCCAGCTACTGGGAAGGCTGAGGTAGGAGGACTGGCTTGACTCCATGAGTTTGAGGCTGCAGTGAACAATGACTACATCTCTGCAATCCAGCCTGGGCAACAGAGTTAAGACCCTATCTCTAAAAAGAAGAAAAAAGAATTTGAAAGCTCAAATAATGGAAAAGGGAAAGCAAAATAATTATTTATAGGTAATGCATCTGTCTACCCAGAAAATGAGTTAAAACACACACACACACACACACACACACACACACACACACACACCCTAGAATAAGATACTTCAGAAAGATAGTAAGTTATAAAATGAATATACAAAAAATTCCCATACATGAGCACTAACTCGTGATTCCCCTCTCTTTAAAGTACCGTATAGGTTGGGTGCGATGGCTCATGCCTGTAATCCTAGCACTTTGGGAGGCCAAGGTAGGAGTAACACTTGACCTCAGGGGCTCGAGACCAGCCTGGGAAACATAGTGAAGCCCTGTCTCTACAAAAAATACAAAAAAATTAGCCGGGTATGGGGGCAGTGCCTTTAGTCCTAGCTACTTGAAGGGTTGAGGTGGGAGGATCGCTTGAGCGTGGAGGTCGAGGCTGTAGTGAACAGAGATGGGGCCGCTGTACTCCAGCCTGGGTAACAATGTGAGATTCTGTCTGAAAAATAATTTTTTTTTTTAAAAAAGTACTGTATATATACATGTGCGATTGAGCTTTAAAAAAAAAAATGGCTATGCACCAAGCAGCTTATGGTGGTAATCTCTATAATATAGGGGTTACGGGTGTTTCTTTTTGTGTTTATCTGCATTCTTAAAATTTTAGTTATATCCCTCTCCTTATATTAGGAGGAAAAATTATCAATAGCTCAATTCTTAGTATGTATGTATGGTTAGAAAACTCAGGGCAGAAAATAGGGCAAAACAACTAAAATGCTAAATATGGACAAATACAAGAAAAAAACTTTTAATTCTTCAGAAATAATTTTGCATTTGAAAATATCTAATCTGATTAACATAATCTCTGATTTGTTTTCCTTTTATGAATAAAATCTAAAATGTGTTTTTCTTTTAATTCCACATTTGGAATCATCATTTCTGTCTTTCCAGATAAATGTTAGATATTGACATTTCTGTGCCCCTGCTGTTGTAAAACTGAGTAAAACAACAAAAGAGATTCAAGATTATCAGCTAGACAAAACCTACTTTGACTCTGTAATAAGACAAGGGGGCAGATGCTAGAAATGCTAAAAGCAAATGCATTAACAGCACCCTCTAGTGTTACGAAATCTAATGGCACTTGGTAGAAGAAACCTAAATGTAAGATTTTTAAAAACTTCTTCTGGAAAATTTCAAACATACAGAAAAGTAGACAAAATGAAAACACATTTTCATTTCATATTCAATTTGCTTCCAATTACTGACTGTTCTTACTCTTGTAGCAACTTTTATATTTCATTAAGAGGTGTCAGAGGCAACCAGGTATCTCTGTGGGCCCTTCTCTGCCATTCGATTAGTAATTCAACTAATAAAATCCTTGGTTTTAAGTTGGGCACACAACCAACTAAATTAACTGAGGCAACATTTCCCAGGCTCCCTTGCAGCTAGATGCAGCCAGCCTTAGCCAACGGATATGGGTGAAAGTAAGCATGCCCTCCCCTCTCCCTTCCCTCTTCTTTTTTTTTTTTTTTTTTTTTTCTGAGACAGAGTTTCACTCTTGTTGCCCAGGCTAGAGTGCAATGGCGCGATCTTGGCTCACTGCAACCTCTGCCTTCTGGGTTCAAGCGATTCTCCTGCCTCCGCCTCCCAAGTAGCTGGGATTACAGGCATGTGCCACCATGCCCGGCTAATTTTATATTTTTAGTAGAGACGGGGTTTCTCCATGTTAATCAGGCTGGTCTCGAACTCCTGACCTCAGGTGATCCACCCACCTTGGCCTCCCAAAGTGCTGGGATTACAGGCGTGAGTTACTGCGCCCGGCCTCCTTCCCTCTTCTTACTGGCTGCAGGAACCACCTTGGACTATGTAAAAGAATCAATACTCTAAGAAGCCAAGCATAGTGGCTTATGCTTATAATCCCAGTGCTTTGGGGGGCTTGAGTCAGGAGGGTCACTTGAGGATAGGAGTTTGAGACCATCCTGGACAACACAGCAAGACTCCCATCTGTACAAAAAAATTTTTTTTCTAATTACCTGGGCATGGTGAGGTGTGCCTGTTATCCCAGCTACTCAGTAGGCTGAGGCAGGAGGATGGGTTGAACCTAGGAGTTCAACGTTCAGTGAACTATGATCATGACACTGCACTCAAGCCTGGATGACAGAGCGACACTATCTCTAAAAATTAATTTTAAAAATAAGAATCAATACTCTAGAAATTTTAAAGAGGGGGATAGATTATGTGAGGAAAAAACTTTGATGGTCTTATCCCAGCATGTCAGAGCAGCTAAAACTATAACCTCAAAAAAAAAAAAAAAGAAAAGAAAAAAAACCCAACAGGCTGAGCGCAGTGGCTCACACCTGTAATCCCAGCACTTTGGGAGGCCAAGGCGGGCAGATTACCTGAGGTCAGGAGTTCAAGACCAGCCTGGCCAACATGGTGAAACCCCATCTCTACTAAAAATACAAAAATTAGCCAGACATGGTGGTGGGCGCCTGTAATCCCAGCTACTCGGGAGGCTGAGGCAGGAGAATCCCCTGAAACCGGAATGCAGAAGTTGCAGTGAGCCAAGATCGTCCCACTGCACTCCAGCCTGGGCAACAGAGTGAGACTCCATCTCAAAAAAAAAAAAAAAAAACTTATTAAATTGGCTTCTTTGGCAGACACTTAAAGCCTGGCCACTCAAAACCTGGCCACTCAACCATAATCTCAAGCCATGATTCAGAATGTGTGCTGACAAGCACATACCACAATTCCAGCAATGAAGTAAAAACACTTCATCCAACTCTCAAAGCAAATCCACTGTGAAGACTGTCTGCACCCTTCCAGCTCAAGACTCACATTACAGTGTGTCCTAGTTAGCAGGCTGCAGTAGAAGGGTTAGTGGTAAAGCATCACTGCACTGGCATCCGTGCCCCTCACTGGAGACCATGCATGGTGCAGTATGTGCAGGAAAGTCATTAACCAGTGAGCCGAAAATGCCTCTGTAAAATAAGATTGCTGCCCTACTCCTGTAGTTTCTGCACTTCTCTTTTTAGTACTGGAATGAGTATTCTCAGATTAAATCTTATTTAAAGCCTAGAGGGGAGGGGGAGAAATCACACCAGTAGGTGGATGGCATCATTAAAATGGAGGTTTAACATTCTTCACTATAAAGTTTTAACATACATTTTCCAGAAATAAAATAGTCCAACTAGTAAATGAAAAATTCTATGTATTTCTTAGCAACAAAATACATTTATCTAATTTTCTAGCAGTAGCTGCAAATGTTTATTTATCTTTTTTTTTTGAGACCGGGTTATGAGACTGGCTAATTTTTGTATTTTTGGTAGAGATGAGGTTTCACCATGATGCCAAGGTTGGTCTCAAACTCCTGAGCTCAAGCAATCGACCTGCCTCGGCCTCCCAAATTGCTGGGATTATAGGTGTGAGCCACCGCGCCTGGCTGAGTAGCTGCAAATGTTACGCTGTACTATACCATCTCTTTACTATTTGGTTACCCTAACACAATGCTCTGATTTTGAATTAAAGAGAAAGAAAAAAAGATCATCCAAGAGCAAGAAGGGCAAAAATCAATTACTTTAAATAACTTTAAAATACAATTTGATTTTTAAGTTTCATTCTTTGGATTAAAAAGCTGTATGAAAGGGCCAGGTGTGGTGGCTCATGCCTGTAATCCTAGCACTTTGGGAGGCCGAGGTGGGCAGATCACCTGAGGTCAGGAGTTCAAGATCAGCCTGACCAACACAGAGAAACCCGTCTCTACTAAAAATACAAAAAAAAAAAAAATTAGCTGGGCATGGTAGCACATGCCTGTAATCCCAGCTACTCAGGAGGCTGAGGCAGGAGAATCACTTGAACCCAGGAGGCAGAGGTTGCAGTGAGCCAAGATTGTGCCATTGCACTCCAGCCTGGGCAACAAGAGCAAAACTCTGTCTCAAAAAAAAAAAAAAATGGTGTATGACATACCTATTAAAATGGCTAGAACAAAAACAGACAATACCAAGTGCTGACAAGTTACTGGAACTCTCATACTCTTGGGTGGGTATGCAAAATGGTACAACTACTTTGGAAAAACCATTTGGTCATTTCTTATCAAGTTAAACATAAGTTTCCATAAGACCCAGCAATACTACTCCTGGGCATCTATGGCTGAATGAAACCTTACGTTCAGACAAGAACATGTACATAAATGTTAATAATGGCTTTATTTTTTATTTGTATTTATTTATTTTGAGACAAGGTCTCACTCTGCTACCCAGACTGGAGTGCCGTAGTACAATCACGGCTCACTGCAGCCTCAACCTCCCGGGCTCAAGTGATCCTCCCATCTCAGCCTCCC
Organism: Homo sapiens; assembly: GCF_000001405.40. Taxonomy (NCBI): domain Eukaryota; kingdom Metazoa; phylum Chordata; class Mammalia; order Primates; family Hominidae; genus Homo; species Homo sapiens. Next base: position 4,959,623 of record NC_000020.11, read on the forward strand.
AAGTAGATGGGACTATAGGTGTGCGCTACCACACCTGGCTAATTTTTCTAATTTTTGTAGAGATGAGGTTTCGTCATGTTGCTCAGGCTCTTGCCCGGGCTCAAGCAAACCTCCCGCCTTGACCTCCAGATCACTGGGATTACAGGCGTGAGTCACCATATCAGCTATTTTTATTTTTAGACACAGGGTCTCTCTCTGTCACGTAGGCAGGATTACAGTGGCAGGCTCATAGCTCATTGCAGCATCAAACTCCTGAGCTCAAGCAATCCTCCCACCTCAGCCTCATAAGTAGAGAGAACTACAGATGTGTACTGCCATACTCAGCTAATTATTTTTTATTGTCATTGTTTTTGTAGAGATGAGGTCTCGCTATGTTGCCCAGGCTGGTCTCAAACTCCTGAGCTCAAGAGATTCTCCCACCTCAGCCTCCCAAAGTGCTGGGATTACAACTGTGAGCTATCATACCTGGCCTCTAGCGGCTTTATTTATAATAGCCAAAACCTGGAAACAACATTCACCTTTAACTAGTAAACATCAACTAGTGAATATCCACAAACCACATGGCCTATCTCTATTAAAACACAATTATCATTTCACATTCATCAGATAAGGCTAGAATAAGAGTTTAGTAATATGAAGTATTGGCAAGACTGTGAATAAACAGGAATTCCTGTATCTTGTTGACAGAGAAGAAAATTGGTTCAAATACTTGGGAGAACCACTGCTAATATTTAGTTGGTTGAAACTGTGTATGCACTATGATCCAGCAAGGCCAGTTAGCATACTTCACCCCAGAGAAACCCACCCAGATGAAGACAGTCATTCTGTTCATTATGCTATGTCAAGAGGAGAATATCTAAGTTATGCTATGCTTAATCAATGAAATAAAATACTGTAGTTAAAATAAACGAACTCTAGCTACTTGGACCAACATTTGGGAACATTTTCCAGAGTGATTAAGTAGGTTGTAGCGCACGCGCACACGCACACACACAAGATCTACTATTTAAGGTTTTAAATCACGCAATCATTATTATATGTTGGTTTGTGAATATATAAGCATGTAACACAAAAGTAAAGACACGGACTGTAAAGGTACCTCTGGGAAGAAGAGAAAGAGGGAGATGAGGCTAGCAGAGAGGACAAACCAGGTATCTGAAATGTTTCAATTTCCTTAAAAAGCAAAAACAAAATACCTGAAGCAAAAATGACATGTTTAGATTTATTAGGTCTGGGTATCTAGCAGGTAAGTTTTCATTCTTTAGTTTTCTTTATATTTGAAATGTCACAATTAAAAGCAAATGTTTAACCAAAGACTATCTATCTTTAAAAGGATATACAGTCTGAACACACAAAAACTGGTAAAAGTGGCTGCCTCCAGAGATGGAAACTGGGACAAGGACCAGACAGGAAGGAGGCTTATTCTCCCTGCCTGGCCTGTCCTCATGCACATTCTGATTACACATCCTTTTTTTTTTTTCTTTTTCTTTTTTTTTTTTTTTTGAGACGGAGTCTCGCTCTGTCGCCCAGGCTGGAGTGCGGCGGCACGATCTTGGCTCACTGCAACCTGCACCTCCCAGGTTCAAGCAATTCTCCCTATAGGCACGTGTCACCATGCCCAGCTAATTTTTTGTATTTTTAGTAGAGACGGGGTTTCACCTTGTTAGCCAGGATGGTCTCGATCTCCCTGACCTCATGATCCGCCCACCTTGGCCTCCCAAAGTGCTGGGATTACAGGCGTGAGCCACCACGCCTGGCCTATCTATTTTTTTAATTACAAATAAATTTTACGCCCTCTTTATCTCCAATCCCCCAGAGTGGGGCCTATCTAAAGCAAGCTTGTCCAGCTCTCGGCCCAGGACAGCTGTGAATGCAGCCCAACACAAATTCGTAACTTTCTTAAAACATTTGAGATTTTTTGCGATTTTTTTAAAGCTCATCAGCTATCATTAGTGATAGAGTATTTTATGTGTGGCCCAGGGAAGCCAAAAGATTGGACACCCTTGATCTAAAGTATTTTTATTTCAGATAAGGACAGGCCACTGAACACATGACTGAGATTCCAGCCCTGACTGTGCCATTAATGATGGGAGGAGATTTAATTTTGGGGATGATTTAACCCCCTCCAAGTATCACATCACTTCTAAAATATTGTCTTTTATGAAAACACAAACATATCCCCCTCAGCCAGAGAATCTCTAACTAAGCCACAGGGAGCGAAAAGCAGTTCTCATATAACCCTGATAGGAAAACTTTTGGAATTTGTTCGGACAGTTCCACACAGACCATCTGCAGTGATTGCCTCATAGCCTCTGTGGGTAGAGATGTACGTAGACAGTTGCCCTTATGCAAGGCAGCATGAGGTGAGAGAAGGGCAGGAAGTTGGGGGAGTGCTTATCTGATCACTTGTTTTCTTAATGAACTAAGAAGCAGAGGTCATGGCTGAGAGTAAAAAGGCTGGGAATGGGATTGGACAGAAGTGACTATGGAAGAAGAAAAACGATGAGAAAAATGATATTATTTTAAAAAAAAAAATCAAAGTCCAGCTGAGCCCAGAACTCATAATATGAAATAGAGAAAGTCACCTTGTTATCTGGTTTCTCTCCAGCAGAGTTCAACCACCCCCGCCCCAAAAAAACAGAATAGTTAAGACCAGGGCACTGAGGGAGCTTGACAAGTTCTGGAGACAGCTCAGAGAGGGAGGAGACCATGTTAGTAAGATGGCAGCCACGTGATTTCCTGTGGCGTCCATAGCAGGTAAAAAGGACTGGGGAGGCAAGAGGAAGCCAGAGAGCACCACAGAGCTGGAGCACCAGGACCAATGAAGGGGAGGAATGAGAGCTAGGGAGGACAGGGTGTGTAGACACACTCCCAGCTCAGGATCCCAAAGTGCTGTCTGGGAGACGACTGGGCCTTGGAGAGCTGATATAAACTGGAAGTAAAACTACCTGCAAAAGGTAAAAGGTCAGTGAGGTCCCGTGGCCGGATAAGCCAATGACTGAGAGATGATGCTAGAAGACACAGTGGAAAGAAATGTGGCAGGCCAGGAGCCAACATTCAAGGGGCATAAAGAAAGGTCAAGAAGTTGCTAGATGGCCTGGCGCAGTGGTTCACACCTGTAATCCCAGCACTTTGGGAGGTCGAGGCAATGGATCACCTGAGGTCAGGAGTTCGAGATCAGCCTTGCCAACATGGTAAAACCCCATCTCTACTAAAAATACAAAATTAGCCGGGTGTGGTGGCATGCACCTGTAATCCCAGCTACTCAGGGGGCTGAGGCAGGAGAATCGCTTAGAACCAGGGAGGCGGAGGTTGCAAGTGAGCCAAGATAACGCCACTGCACTCCAGCCTGGGTGACAGAGCAAGACTATCTCAAAAAAAGTTGCCAGATGATGGCAAAGAGGAAAAAGGCTTCAAAACTAACAGTGGTAGTTGAATTAAGGCTGGAGGACACAGCCTGCTATTCCCTCTACCTGGAAATACTGCAACACCTGGAGAATGTAAATATCAATTCCTCAGCAAATCCTTTCCACATCTCCCAAAATCCAAACCACTCACTTCACTCTTTGCTATTCTCCCAAAGCAAGGAGCACAATTCATGCCAAATGTCCTTCGTTATCCAAAGTTATGCTTTTCTCAAGTTCATGAAGCCAACCAGGGATCCACGTTTTCTGGGTCTATCCAGTTCCTAAATTGTGATCAGCAGAAAATAAGCGAAGGGTATATACCTAAAGATGTATCCAGCAAGCCACCAAGTCAGGAAAGCAGGTGCTCTGGCATGCTGGCTTCAGGACCCCTTAGTCACAGCCACTTAAAAGTAGTCTGCATGGCTATAAGAATCCCTAAGGCTGCCATAACTCCTTTAATATGATTCTCTGTGTTGCCAATAGGAATATGACCATATGTAAGCTTTCTTATTAAAAAAAAAAAATGTAAAAAATCTGACCAGGCACGGTGGCTCACGCCTATAATTCCAGCAGTTTGGGAGGCCAAGATGGGTGGATCACTTGAGGCCAGGAGTTCAAGACCAGCCTGCCCAACATGGTGAAAACTCGTCTCTACTAAAAATATAAAAATTAGCCAGGCATGATGGCACACACCTGTAGTCCCAGCTACTCCTGAGGCTGAGGCACCAGAATCACTTGAACCCAGAAGGCGGAGGTTGCAGTGAGCTGAGATCGTGCCACTGCACTCCAGCCTGGGTGACATAGTGAGACTCTGTCTCAAAAAAAGCAAAAAATCAAAAAGGCAGAAATAAAATAAAATGTACCATTTATAATTTACACAACAAATTGTAATTGTAAATTTAGTAAATAATTTTTAACATCCCGTTAACATGCAAGCACTTTGGATATACTGCTAGTGGGAGTAATAATTGCCATTAACTTATTTTTTTTTTTTTGAGATAGGGTCTCACTCTGTCGCCGAAGCTGGAGTGCAGTGGCACAATCATGACTCACTGCAGCCTTGACCTTCCTGGGCTCAGGTGATCCTCCCACCTCAGCCTCCCAAGTAGCTGGGATTGTAGGCACATACTAATTTTTCTATTTTTGGTAGAGATGGGGTCTCCCCACGTTGCCCTGGCTGGTCTTGAACTCCTGGGCTCAAGCAATCCGCCCACATCAGCCTCCCAAAGTGCTGGGATTATAGGCGTGAACCACTGCACCCAGACATAACATTTTTAGATGGTAATTTAACATCACCAATCAAAGGCTCTAAAAATACACATAGCCTTTGACCTAACAATTTTACTCTTAAGGAATTTATCCTAGCAAAATAATTAAAACAGGCTTAAATTTTTCATTTTGTGAGTGTTCATTAAAATAATGCTTAAGAGTAATCCAAAACCGGAGGGGAAAATATTAATGCCTAAAATAGAGGACTGGTTGGTACAATTGTGGGCACATTCTTATATGAGCATATTACAGAGATTAAAACATGGGTGACTGACGTGGCAACGTAAGGAGTGCATTATTAAGCTGAGAAAAAGACAGGCTTACAAAACAAACCTGATAATCCCATTTCAGTGTGTGCACACATGCAGAAAATGAAGGGACACCAAAAAATTAGCCAGGTGTGGTAGCACACTCCTGCAGTCCCAGCTACTCAGGAGGCTGAGGCAGGAGGATCCCCTGCACCCGGGAGGTAGAGTTGCAGTGAGATCGCACCACTGCATCCCAGCCTGGGTGATGAGAGCAAGACTCTGTCTCAAAAAAAAAAAAAAGAAGAAAAGAAAAAAAGGAAGGAAGAGAAGAGTAGAAGAGAAGGGAAAAGAAGAAAAAAAAAAAGAAAGGAAAATGGAGGAAAACACCAAAATAGTACATGATTATCTCCAGATGATGGGATTATATGTGGTTTTTTTTCCCCTTATTTTTCTACAGTGTACATATGTCACTTTCATAATTCTTAAAAGCTTGAGCCATTATCTAAGGACAACACTGAAATAAATATACAGGTAAGACAAACTAGAAGAGAAATTCTGGCAGTCAACACCAGTGCTGAGAAAAAACACCCTATTGATATAGTCAGTGTGCTCCCGGAGAGAGCGCTGGGAGGGCTAGAGTTTCCTGGTAACCAGGAGCCTAAATTTATCATTCCTAAGGGCTTGCTGATGGCACCTGAGTAACTTAGGAAACCAAAGGTGTGGTCAAAAGGTAAGCGCTCTTCATACTCGGTAAACCTACTGTGTTCAGGGGTTCCTGATTTTCCTTAAATCCTTTTTATTCTTGGATCTCAACTCTTCCAAGGGCTGTCTTTATCTAACATTAGTTACTATACTTCTTCACATTTCCTAGATCTTCTTTATTTGAAAAAGAAATGAGACTCATTCATTGCAACCAAACTTTAACTTGTCAAAATTATAAACTGGCTGGGCCCAGTGGCTCACATTTGTAATCCCAGTACTTTGGGAGGCCAAGGCAGGCGTATCACTTGAGCCCAGAAGTTCGAGACCAGCCTGGGTAACACAGCAAAACCCCGTCTCTACAAAAAATTAGCCAGGTATGGTGGTGCATGCTTGTAGTCCCAGCTACCAGGCAAGCTGAAGAGGAAGCATCACCCTCAGCCGGGCGCGGTGGCTCAAGCCTGTAATCCCAGCACTTTGGGAGGCCAAGGGAGGCAGATCACTTGAGGTCAGGAGTTGGAGACCAGTGTGGCCAATGTGGAGAAACACCATCTCTACTAAGAATACAAAAATTAGCTGAGCGTGGTGGCATGCGCCTGTAATTCCAGCTACTCAGGAGGCTGGGGCAGGAGAATTGCTTGAACCTGGGAGGCAGAGGTTAAAGTGACCCAAGATTGTGCCACTGCACTCCACCCTGGGTGACTGAGTGAGACTCCATCTCAAAAAAAAAAAAAAAAAGGGAAGATCAGGAGATCAAGGCTGCGGTGAGCTATAATCATACCACCATACTCCAGCTTGGATAACAGAGGGAGACCCTGTCCCCTCCAAAAAAATAAAATTATAAGCTATAGAACGTATTTGTGATTCTTGGGTAAAAAAGAAAAATATACATATAGACTGGGGTAGGGGGCAGCAGGGGAGATCAATTTACTTGTTGAACTGGTTCATGTGCATTTTCCAGGCAACAGAAAATCTAAATTTGAAAGGAAAAAGGTGAGGAAGGGGAAGCTTTAGTAGCATCATTCAAGTGTGAGTATGTATTATTACATAGTCCCTGAAATAGAAGGGGCTTACATTATGAAATACTGAAAAATCCAAGAGCTTGGAAGTTGAAAACATATTGCTCAGTGGTAAGTAAAGCTATGTGGGGTTTAAACTGTGCTATCCAATGCGGGAGCCACCAGCCCCAGGTGGCTACTGAGCATCTTAAACGTGTTGGTCCAACTGGTATGTGCTATGAATGTAACATATACAATAGACTTCAAAGGGTTGCTATGAAAATAAAAAAGAATGCAAATATCTCATTAATAACTTTATATTGATTGTGTTGAAATACTATTTTTAATATATCAGCTTATAAAATATATTACTAAAATTAATTGTTCTTGTTTTCCTTTAATGTAGCTACCTCAAAATTACATATGTGACTTCCATTATAATGGTATTAGGCACTGCTAGTCTAAAATACGTGGATACCAGGGAAAGAGAAAATGCTATTTCAGTGCACACAACCAGGGTAATCATAAGATCACATCCTATGGATGTGTAAACTTTTGATAGTTTTACACACACACACACACACACACACACACACACACACACACACACACAGGCATGGCCATCTTTATCCAAACATCAAAGACAACCCTATTATTAATATCCTACACAGTCAGCTGGGCAGATTACATGATGGGGAGCAGGTGCCATAACCTAATTTTCCACACACAGAACTGAGAGGAGGGAAGGAAGCAGATATAAAAGAGACCAAAGCAGAAATCCAGAAGCAGAATCCAGTGCTAACGAGAAGCACAAGATGAAAGGTCAGAAGGGCTGGAGGCAGGGGCTCTTTGAGGGAAGCCCAGAACCAGTACAAGAAATCTAAATAAACACAGGGCCCATCCAAAGGTAAACATTACTCAAATCCAGAAAGGCTTTATTGCTATTGATCTGCAAGTTCCAGTTTATGGCAAACCTAAAACAAAATAATATGTGTATTTAAAAAGGATTATCATTAGAAGTCATGGGACAAATTTATTGATGAGTTTTTTTTTTAACACCATACAGAAAAATCAGCAAACAACTTAGACAATTTATAAACAGCTGGTCTTAATCCAACACTAACATGTTGATTTTTCAAAATAACCAGTTGAAAAGGCCAGACTTGTTCTAATTTGCTTGGAATCTCTTTCATAGTAACTGTTACACAACTGTTCCATCTTCCTTCCTTACCTTCTTATGTAAGCTCTGTAATCACCATCAGTGTTTACATAGGTTTGTGAAACCACCCAATTTCTCCAGTAAATATTTAATTCTCTTTGCTACTGATCAAACCATAAGCAACACAACATTTTTATACGACATGTTTGGTAATGAGAAAATGAGACATTGACGTCAACAGCACAAAGTCTATAAACCAAAAACACCAGGATTTCCCGATACATAGGCCTCTTGGAAATCAGGCACCAATAAAATAGAAAATTCTCTTCACTGCTCCAAGTGTTTGATCCAGTTTATAACTGAGTTCCGCAGCATCTGTGGTGGTTCTAGCAAATGCTAAAATACCCTTCAACCAGAACCATGCACCCAGTCTGCAGGCTTCAGGCACCAAGCAGAATGGGTGTTCTCAGCTATGAAAGCCAGGCACTCAACAATCACCTGTATGTTATTAATGACAAAAACGAAAGGTACGAGCAAGCCTCCTCTTTTCTCAGTTTAGTAAGACCGTGATATTTTAGGATCTGTACTGATCATCTCAAGGCAAATGGAATGACACCAACCATCCAACTAGATCCCTGACTGCCCTTGGTGGGCTGGAGCAAGGAGATGGAGATACATTATGCTGAGGCTCTTTCCCATCTGATTGTACAGTCCGGACACCTAGCAAATCAGAGAAAACACATACAACCATAGAGCTGGGCAGGAGAGCTCAAGGACACTGGAACTCCAGGCTGGAAGTTGTCAGGAATGACTTTTAGGAAGTGAGATTAGGGTTAGCCTTGAAAGATGGCGGGAATCCCAAGAGAGATGCCACTACGGAGGTCCAGAGGTAGGTGGCATATGATGCGTCTTTTGGGCGCTGAACACAACAGCCTAACCCCAGCACCTGGAGGTCAGAGGACAGGGAGGCAAAGGAAGAAAACCCTTTGTGGAGTCAAAGTAGCCTTGAAAAGCAAACTCAACACAGAACGGCTTCATGCAACATGAGTTTCTGGGCAGGCGAGGAGAGCAGTCGTCCACCACAGGATAATCTCAAAATGGGGATCAAGAAGCTACTGTGTTAATCCAAGGAAAATGACCTTGGCAACTGCAATGGTGAAAATGCCAATGAGAAAAATGGATGAACTAAGGGAGTGATTTCAAAGAAAGACCTGGTATTAAAGGTGACCTCTAAGAAAAGAGCCAGGTGTCCTCTTCCTTCAGAACTAAGAAAACAGGCTTGACAAGGTAAATCATTAAAAAGGTCAGGATGTGTATTTTTCTTTTTTTTTTTTGAGACGACGTCTGTCTCTGTCACCCAGGCTGGAGCACGATGGCATGATCTCGGCTCACTGCAACCTCAGCCTCCTGAGGTCATGCAATTCTCCTGCCTCAGCCTCCAGAGTAGCTAGCAATACAGGTGTGCGCCACCATGCCTGGCTAATTTTTGTATTTTTAGTAGAGACGGGGTTTCACCAGCCATGTTGGCCAGGCTGGTCTCGAACTCCTGACCTCATGATCCACCCACCTTGGCCTCCCAAAGTGCTGGGATTACAGGTGTGAGCCACTGTGCCCGGCCTTGTTTTGTTTTTAGTAGTAAGTAGAGACTTCTTTATTAGAAGTGTTTTTTGGTTTTTTTTGTTGTTGTCATTGTTTTGTTTTGAGACAGAGTTTCCCTCTTGTTACCCAGGCTGGAGTACAATGGCACAATCTCGGCTCACTGCAACCTCCTGCCTCCCAGGTTCAAGCGATTCTCCTACCTCAGCCTCCCGAATAGCTGGGATTACAGGTATGCGCCACCATGCCTGGCTAATTTTTTGTACTTTTAATAGAGACAGGGTTTCTCCATGTTGTACAGGCTGGTCTTGAACTCCGGACCTCAGGTGATCCGCCCGCCTCAGCTTCCCAAAGTGCTGGGATTCCAGGCATGAGCCACTACACCCAGCCTTTATTAGAAGTCTTAAAATTTTTTTAAAAGGAGTGATCCCCTCTAAGTATTTGTAAAAGCTCTTATAAGTGTACACAGAAAGTAAATTTTACTGCACATAAAATTTTTTTAAAACAACACTGACATAACATTTTACATCCACCATACTGAATAAATTTAGTTTTAACAAGTCAATGTATCTGACAGCATCCTTTTTTTTTTTTTTTTTTTCTTGAGGCAGGGTCTCACTCTGCCACCCAGGCTAGAGTGCGCTGGCACAATCAGAGCTCACTAAATCCTTGAACTCCTGGGCTCAAGTGATCCTCCTGTTTCAGTCTCCAGAGTAGCTGGGACTATAGGCGTGCACCACCACATCCAGAAGCAGAGTATCTGAGAGAATGTATCGGCAGATGTGAAACACTTGCGGCTTTTCTGAAGGATAATTTACCTATACATGTATCAAATTTTAAAAGGTCATGCACTGTGCCCATCACTACTACTGCTAAGATGTTTTCCCCAAGAAGAAATTTGATTGCAGTATTGCTTATAATAGCAAAAAATTAAAAATAATCAAAATGTTCATCAAGCTTTGGGGATAAGGGAAACAACAGAAGGAGGAAAAAAAGAATGCTCCTGAGTAATGTACATGTGGTTAGTCTCATTAATTAAACTGCAGAGAATGCTTGAAAAGGGGTGAGGAAACAATTCTTAAATCTCTTTCCACTCCAGGTTCCTCACGTATAAACCTCACGGAGGGCCAAGAGCAGGAGGTACTCAACAAATTTTTGCTGATAATAAAGTCAAAAGCATGAAAGAAAACTGAAAATATTTACCTCCTACTTTGTAATTAATATAAGTGGCAAGACTGTGCCTGTTTATTTTCTAGTTTAATCTACTTGCGTGGAATTTGGCCTAAAGAAGTCTATTACCTTATCATTAGCATTAACCTAACAATTCATTATTCCAAAGGTTGTGCATTTAGACCGTTCTCAACACGTAAAAAACGTACAAAGGTAAGGTCAAGTACAAAAGGGTTCTAATGCTACAGAGCTGCCAGCCCAATTCTACCATGAAGCATAACTAGCCAGGCATGGTGGCTGAAGCCTATAATCCCAGCACTTTGGGAGGTAGAGGCAGGAGGATCGCTTGAGCCCAGGAGTTGGAAACCAGCCTAGATAATATAGTGAGACCCCATCTCTAAGAAAAAAAAATTTAAAAATTAGCCAGGCACCATGGCTCACGTCTGTAGTCCCAGCTACTTGGGAAGCTGAGGTAGAAGGATCACATAAGCCCAGTAGGCCAAGGCTGCCACGAGCTGTGATCGTGCCACTGCACTCCACCCTGGGTGATAGAGCAAGAACCTGTTTCAGAAAAAGTAAGAAAAGGAAAAGGAAACACAACTGGAGATTGTGTTTTACACGCACCTAAGTGATGTGGCGTAGACCTGTCCATATGCTTTCCATTACAATTCGCTGAGTTACATTTGCTTATGCACCAAGGTCCAAGTTCAAAGCCGTATGAGAAGTCCCCGTTAGTGGAGTCAAGACCTAGCTGGAGAAAAGCAAATGGTAAATTAAAAGTAATAACAAACCTAGCAGGAGGTACTCTGCATGAATGGAGTCTATTTTTCACCCAGCCATGCCCAATCCTAGAATTTGCTCTATTACTACTTCATTTTTATGGACTGCCTCCAAGGCCCCAGCCTGTCTCTAGGCAGGGTCACAAACTGCACCCTCAATTCTTTAAAAATCCACTCTCCATTTCTACAAAGTATTTTGAAAGATAGTATTTTAGAACACCTATAAAAAAACTTTTCAGCCAGGCACAGTGGCTCACACCTGTAACCCCAGCACTTTGGTAGGTCAAGGCAGGCAGGTCACTTAAGCCCAGGAGTTCGAGACCAGCCTGAGCAATAGGGTGGTCTCTACAAAACACACACACACACACACACACACACACACACACAAATTAGCCAAGTGTGGTGGTGCACACCTGTGATCCCAGCTACTCAGGAGACTGAGAGGTGGAGAATCACCTGAGCCCAGGAGGTTGAGGTTGCAGTGAGCTGTGCAACCGCACTCCAGCTTGGATGACAGAGTGAGACTCTGTCTCAAAAATAAATAAATAAATAAAAAGCAATTTTGGGCCAGGCACGGTGGTTCACACCTGTAGGGAGGCTGGGATGGGAGGATCACTTGAGGCCAGGAGTTCAAGACCAGCCTGGGCAACATAGTGAAACCTTGTCTCTACAAAAAAAAAAAAAAAAAAATTATCTCGTCGTGGTGGCACACACCTGTAGTCACAGCTACTCAGGAGGCTGAGGCAGGAGGATTCCTTGAGCCCAGGAGGTCAAGGCTGCAGTGAGCCATGACTGTGCCACTGCAGTCCTACTTGGGCAACAGAGCAACACGCCATCTCAAAACAAAAGCAAAAAAAGTGATTTGCACTCAGTTGGGATTTCTCCATTGATAACTTTTAAACTCCATATTCCCTAGCACAGGGTCTTTGATTTAAAAAAAATAAATAAATAAGTCACTTTCTGTTAAAGCCTCTTAAAAATGTACTAGCACACGGGGAGGGTGCTTCTCAAAAAGCCGGTCACATTCTGTTTCTCAAACTGGGATATGAGCAGGTACACAGATGTTTCTTTTACTATTTATTAAACGGCTATGTTTTATCCACTCTTGTACCTATGCATATGTTCCACAATAAAGGGAACCCAGAGCCTGACTCAGTGGCTGTCTTGGGAACAGCCATCCCAGCCCCAGCCATGAGCCTGGCCCTCCCTTGTGAAGAAAAACGTGCAAGGCAACCAACAGTTTAGCCAGATTTTCACTGGAAAATCCTTATGTTGAGACATCAACTTTTACCATTTGTTCTTGGGCAAGTTAGCATCAACAATCGCCAACGGCCCCAAGTTAAATAGCACACAAATGCCATCAGACTGGTACCAGTCCAGCCTTCAAGGAACCATTAATGAGTCTTTTTTTTTTTTTTAATTTTGGAAACTAAACACTGGTCTTGTGCTATTTGGGAAAAAATACTCACTTTAAATTATTAGAACGTGAATGAAGAAATTGATGTCTTTCCCTTTCTAAAACATTTTGCATGCAAGGAAAAAAAAAGTAGTAATTTATTTCTCAAAATAAAATCTCTACACATAAATCTATCTTAAGCTATGTGGGGGTTTTTGGGGGGTTTTTTGGGGTTTTTTTGTTGTTGTTGTTGTTTTAAATGAGACAGAGTCTCGCTCTATCAGCCAGGCTGGAGTGCCGTGGCGCAATCTTGGCTCACTACAACCTCCACTCCCGGGTTCAAGCGATTCTCTTGCCTCAGCCTCCCGAGCAGCTGGGATTACAGGTGCCCGCCACCATGCCTGGCTAATTTTTTGTATTTTTAGTAGAGACACGGTTTCACCATGCTGGCCAGGCTGGTCTTGAACTCGACCTTAGGTGATCCACCCGCCTCGGCTCCCAAAGTGCTGGGATTACAGGCACAAGCCACTATGCCAAGCCTTAAGCTATGTTTATCAGAAATTTGCAATGTCAGAAGGGAGGCACAAAGGTGACATCCATCAATGTCTAGTCAAGAGGAATAATGAAAAGAACATGAGAAAAGAAAACAAGAGAGACACTTTAAAAGAATGGCTTACTTTCAGTTAAGTTATAATAACAAATACAGTTCCTTGAAAAATACAGGTTGTACAATATGTGTGGTTATGATTTCACTTTTATTAAAAGGATAATTACATAGTATGCATTTGTGTACACAGAACAGGGCTGGCAAGGATACAGATCAAACTGCTTTGAAGTGGTGGGGGGACATAAGAAAAGATCGTGTGACCTTCTCAATTTACTAAACACAAGTCTGACAAGCTAGAATTATTTTTCAACATGTGTATGCTTCTTTTGCAAATCCTTTAAAAAACTATTAATTAAAAACGGCTCCATGAGGGCAAAGTGCAAATTAACAGAATGTCATTTTTAGCTACAAATCATTGGAAAATTCTGAATGGGGAAGCGAAAGTACTATGACTCCTTAAAGACATGTTTTTGGAGAGTATTTTTCTAAGCTGAGTGGCAAGATGGCTGGAAGGACTTAACTACTGCACAGAACAAGTACTGAGACCAAACCACAGAACTGGGTCAGAGGTTTTAATACTGGGAACATGCAAATACATTTTTGAGAAAGGAATCTCTGAGGAAGGAGTTAAGAAGGAATCACGATACAAACAAAAACAAGACTGAGCTATCAGTAAGCAACCTTGAACTTCTGGCAGAGCGCTCCGCTGAATGCCCCTCCCATTCGTGGGTTCCACCGCACTCTGGAAACATGAAAACTGTCCTTTGCACGCAAGGCTACGGGGCTGAGATCAAAGCCTGGGCGCTGCGGCAGGTCAGAGGAAACATCACTTGGGACACACTCATGGCCACATGACTTTCCCCCATCAAGGCCCGCTGAACTCTCAAGAATCTGTTCACAGTGCTTCTGTTGCTTCTTAATTAGGATGTGCAAAAGTACATACTACATGCTGTGGTTTCCAGACACTGACTTCATACAGAAAACATTCAACAAAAAACTGGGGAAGAAATACTACAGAATTGCCATCTGTGTATCTTACTATGTTATTTAACATCTACCACTGACTCAACATCATTTCCTTAAAAAGGGATGTTAACTCTTCAAAAGCAGGAAGGAGAGAATGCCAGGGCCAGTATCATAACAGGCCAGAACCTTTGAACAGCCAAATCATTCTATCAATTCAGTAGATGCCAAAAAGGCTGACAAAACACTTCCTCCTGATTTAAAAAGCAAAAACCAGCCAGGCGCGGTGGTTTATGCCTGTAATCCCAGCACTTTGGGAGGCTGAGGTGGGTGGATCACCTGAGGTCAGGAGTTGGTCAGCCTGACCAACATGGAGAAACTCCATCTCTACTAAAAATACAAAATTAGCCAGGCATGGTGGCGCATGCCTGTAATTCCAGCTACTCGGGAAGGCTGAGGCAGGAGAATCGCTTGAACCCAGGAGGCGGAGGTTGCGGTGAGCCGAGATCGCGCATTGCACTCCAGCCTGGGCAAGAAGAGCGAAACTCCGTCTCAAAAAATAAAAAAAATAATAATAATAAAAATAAATAAAAAGCAAAAACCAAATATCTTCAATGCAAATTAAAAGATACTTCCTGAATATGACAAATATCTTCTGAAAACAAGGGCAAACTCAAACACTACATATTCTTCATGCTTTGGCATTTTGTTTTTTAAGTTTATTTTTAACCTTATACTACCCTTATATCCTTTATCCTTATACTATCATTCCCAATGTTTGTATTTTTTTCAAGGTCTTACAAAAGAGGCACATGTATGCACTTGAAAATCTTGATGAAATGGGCAATTTTGGGGGGAAAGCTATTTTTTCAGTGTTTTTGTTTTTGTTTTTGAGACGGAGTCTCGCTCTGTCACCTAGGCTGGAGTGCAGTAGCGTGATCTCAGCTCACTGCAACCTCCGCCTCCAGGGCTCAAGCGATTCTCCTGCCTCAGCCTCCCGAGTAGCTGGGATTGCAGGGCCCACCACCACACCTGGCTAATTTTTGTATTTTTAGTAGAGATGGGGTTTCATCATGTTGACCAGGCTGGTCTTGAACTCCTGACCTCAAGTGATCCACCCGCCTTGGTCTCCCAAAATGCTGGATTACAGGTGTGAGCCACCGTGCCTGGCCAAAAACTATTTTTTGAAAACCTGAACAAGTAACAATAAATGGAGAAAATTACAAAAGCAAATTACTCTTTTCCAAAAGGTGCTAGGCCCAGACAAATTCTTAGTTATTTCCCAGCCTTCCTCGTAAGAAATGGGAAATGAAAAAGCTTCCCAATTCCTTCTGGGAATGCAGACAAACTGACAAAGCACAACGGAAGAAAACTATGTATTTCTTCATTGGTGCAGCGGTGAGTAAGAAAAAAAGAAAAAGAAAGAATATGACGTTAACCTCACTTGCCATTCCTAGATTGTTTTTTATTACTTATTTATTTTTTGAGACAGAGTTTCACTCTGTTGCCCAGGCTGGAATGCAGTGGTGCCATCTTGGCTCACTGCAAACTCCACATCCCGGGTTCAAGCCATTCTCCTGCCTCAGCCTCCCAAGTAGCTGGGATTACGTGCACGCACCACCACGCCTGGCTAATGTTTGTATTTTTAGTAAAGACAGGGTTTCACCATGCTGGCCAGGCTGGTCTCAAACTCCTGACCTCAAGTGATCCACCTGTCTTGGCCTCCCAAAGTGCTGGGATTACGGGCGTGAGCCACCGTGCCCCGCCTGTTTTTTTTTTTTTAATTTTTGCAAATATGACATGTAAAGAATGACATCTGGTTTTGATCTTGATTTCTTTGATCCATGTGTCTACAGTTCTTTTATGAACTGTAAGTGCCTTTTACCCATTTTTTTCAGTACGTGTTTGGGTTTTTCTGATTCATTTGCAAGAGTTTCTTTCTTTCTTTTTTTTTTTTTGAGACAGAGTCTCGCTCTGTCGCCCAGGCTGGAGTGCAGTGGCGCGATCTCGGCTCACTGCAAGCTCTTCCTCCCGGGTTCACGCCTTTCTCCTGCCTCAGCCTCCCGAGTAGCTGGGATTACGGGCACCTGTCACCAGGCCCGGCTAATTTTTTATATTTTTAGTAGAGACGGGGTTTCACCGTATTAGCCAGGATGGTCTTGATCTCCTGACCTTGTGATCCACCTGCCTCGCCCTCCCAAAGTGCTGGAATTACAGGCATGAGCCACCACGCCCGGCCAAGAGTTTCTTTTTTTTTTCCTACTTTTACTTTGCTTTTTCTTTTTGCAAGAGTTTCTTATAGGTTAAGGATATTAACCCTTTGTCTACTGAAAGCATTTTCCCCAGAAAAAGCAAATGACTGCTTTTTCCATTTTGTTTATACCACTTGAAATAGAGGACATTTTTTAAGTCTCTCTTAAGTCATACTAGTATCTTTTTGCAATTTCTTCTATTACTTTTGTGCTAGAAAGTCCCTCCCCGGCCGGGCACGGTGGCTAACGCCTGTAATCCCAGCACTTTGGAAGGCCAACATGGGCGGATCACCTGAGGTCGGGAGTTCGAGACCAGCCTGGCCAACACGGTGAAACCCCATCACTACTAAAAATACAAAAATTAGCTGGGCGTGGTGGCATGCACCTGTAATCCCAGCTACTCGGGAGGCTGAGGCAAGAGAATTGCTTGAACCCGGAGGCAGAGGCTGCAGTGCGCCGAGATCATGGCATTGCACTCCAGCCTGGGGGACAAGAGCAAGACTTCATCTCAAAAAAAAAAGAGAGTCTGCCGGGCACGGTGACTCATGCCTGTAATCCCAGCACTTTGGGAGGCTGAGGCAGCAGATCATGAGGTCAAGAGATCGAGACTATCCTGGCCAACATGGTGAAACCCTGTCTCTACTAAAAATACAAAAATTAGCCAGGTGTGGTGGTACACGCCCGCCTGTAGTCCCAGCTACTCAGGAGGCTGAGGCAGGAGAATCACTTGAATCAGGGGGGCGGAGGTTGCAGTGAGCCAAGATCACACCACTGCACTTCAGCCTGGGTGGCTGAGAGAAGCTCCATCTCAAAAAAAAAATAACAAAAATGCATATCCAATGAAATCACTGTTCTAGAAAAGTAATTAGATGAATGTAATTGTACATATTTCAGTTGTAGGACAAGTAGAATCCACTATGTAAAGACTGAATGAATAAATTACGATAGCAAAACACTGTATGATAAAATACTACAGGGCCACTCTGCAGTATACTATCATGACACAGGGAAATAGTTATGATCTATTACAAAGTGGGGTGAAAAAAGGCAGAACATCTCTCTCTTTATGAACATGACTTCTTCAGCAAGATAGGCATTCTAGGACACTTACTACAATATTAACTGGATCTTCCCAGGGTTTCAGATGTAGGTGGTGTCCTATTTCTTTTTGTTTTTCTACTTTAACCATTATTAATGAACACGTATTATTATTATTTTTTTTTAATAAAGACAAGCTCTCAAGCTGGGCACCGTGGCTCATGCCTGTACTCCCAGCACTTTGGGAGGCTGAGGTGGGCAGATCACGAGGTCAGGAGTTCGAGACCAGCCTGGCCAACATGGTGAAACCCTCCCATCCCCGACTCTACTAAAAAACTACAAAAATTAGCTGGGCATGGTGGCATGCACCTGTAGTCCCAGCTACTGGGGAGGCTGAGGCAGGAGAATCACCTGAAATGGGGAGGCAGAGGCTGCAGTGAGCTGAGACTGCACCACTGCACTCCAGCCTGGGTGACAGAGCGAGACTCTGTCCCCAAAAAAAAAAAAAAGAAAAGAAAAGAGACGAGATCTCATTATGCTGCTCAGGCTGGTCTCGAACTCCTGAGCTCAAGTGATCCTCCTGCCTCAGCTTCCCTAAGTGCTAGGATTACAGGTATGAGCTACCACACCTGGCCTATTTGTGATTTTTTAAAAGCTCAAAATTCATAAATATATATGCAAGACAAGTCACTAAAAACAGTTTTGCTCAATGCCTAAGTTGTACTTATCATGAAAAAACGAAAGATACTGGTAGTGGCTCACACTGTATAATCTCACTTGAGCCAAGAAGTTCAAGACCAGCCTGGGCAACATAACAAGGGTCTCTACAAAAACAAACAAAAAAATTAAAGACACCTTTCCTAATTTACTCCCGTATTATAAACGGGATAATAAACTCCTGATTCAAGAAAAATAGGGGCTTTGTCCATCCTCCTAATTACATGAAGATCTAAGGAGTAATGCCCCGATTTACATTCCTGGCAAAATGACAAAGTTAAAAAAACACTCCCATGGCAACTATCGGTGCTAATAAGTCAAGCTCAGTTAACACAAATGGTTCTATTTTTCCCTTCATAAACTGTGCCTTTGCGTGTGAACAAGCACTGTTGACCTTCAACTAAGCTGAAAATCCTATTTTATGTCTGTTAACCCCAAAACTTTCTAAACCTCTCCAAAATGTCTAGGAGTGATCACGATTAGATAATAACCAGATTAAAGTAACTAGAGGTCAGAATTGTGAACTCAAAACGAGGACGACCTAGAAATGGCTAAGCCTGGGCAGGCTGCTTCTCCCCAGCACCCTGCTGAAAGACAGTGCTTAATGAAGGGGGTGGAAAGAATGAACAAAAGGGGCTTAGAAATCCTGCAACCTGGCCCCCCATTGGCAATGGAAGACACAGAGGGGAAACAGAGTCTTATCCCCAGTTGGAGGCAGCCCCAGAACCAGAACCCATACTGGTCTCATTTCTCCTAGAGACAGTTAAAGGGATAATGCCAGGATATGCACACAGGGCACATGTAGTACCTATTCTGAGCTGTGCTGAGCCAGATGCTGTGAAGCTACACACATTAAGCTCCCCTCCACAACCTCAAGGAGCCAACAAGACTAGCAAACCCCTAAAACCTAGCTAGGACAAGTGTTTCCAGAGAGCTGGAATACAAACGGATGCCGATTTTTAAACAAGAACCCTATAGGGTAAAATCAGAAAGAGTTATTTAAGGCTATTATCTAAGTATGATGCAAAAGTCTCCAATTTAATACTACTAGAGCAAAACTAAGAAATTAATGCAAAGGACCAGGCACGGTGGCTCACGTCTGTAAGGCTCACGTCTGTAATCCCAGTACTTTGGGAGGCTGAGGCGGGCAGATCACAAGGTCAGGAGTTCGAGACCAGCCTGGCCAACATGGCAAAACCCCATCTCTACTAAAAATACAAAAATTAGCCAAGCGTGGTGGCGTGTGCCTGTAATCCCGGCTACTCAGAAGGCTGAGGCAGGAGAATCGCTTGAACCCGGGAGGCGGAGGTTACAGTGAACCGAGATCACACCACTGCACTCCAGCCTGGGCAACAGGGTGAGACCCCCATCTCAAAAAAAAAGAAAAAGAAAAAAGAAATTAACACAAAAGAGCACCATCAACCCAACAGACATTATGTGTACCCAAAGGGTCTAAACACCAAAAGCGCCCAAACTTAAGGTTCACATTTACTGGGACAATGGGGCCAGCATGGTGGCTCATACCTATAATCCCAACACTTTGGGAAGCCCAGGCAGGAGGATGACTTGAGGCCAAGAGTTCAAGACCAGCCTGGACAACATAGAAAGACCCTGTCTCTACAAAAAAAAATGTCTAAATATATGAAAAAAATATTAAAATATAGAGACAATAATATTGGAAAATCTTCTATTCCAAATTTTACTTTTCTTTTTAATTCAAAGGTGGCAGCTGATTGTTCCAAGCATTATTTTAGCAGACAAGCAAATAAGAAATCTATAAAATACTTTAAACAAAATCATGTTCTGACAGATTTTTATTCATCTTTAAGAAAAATGTTTCCTATGAAACTTTAGAGTTTGAAAAATGAGACTTCTAATTTGAAAATTAAACCAAGAAAAACAATCTGCAAATAACACTTAGTTCTCCAATACATCATAAAATTACCAGGCAAATGGGGAAAATATGTATAACATTTATTAAAGTGTTCACGTCCTTGATATAAAAATACTGTTATAAATCACCAGGAAAGAGAGACAGATACAAGACTGGAAAAACTGGCAAAAAAAACCACAATAAGCCAAACAAAATATAAATGGCCAAAAGAATCATTAAAAAGTACTCAAACTCACTAGGTATCAAAGAAAAGCAAAATAAACATAGTGATTCCATTCTTCACTCAAATTGGCATAAAAAAGAAAAAATGTTTTATTATGGCAATACTTCCCAGTGTGTTAACCTGAATGCAGGAGGTCTCTGGCATGTATGTTAGGTATGTGTTAAAGTCTTAGAAATGCAAATGATATGCCTTCCAACAATTTAGTCTAAAGAAATAATCAGGAAAATGCACTCAGATTTAGGTACAATGCTGTTCACCACTGTATTATGTCCACCACAGCAGAAAATGGCTCATAAGCTAAATACCTAATAGAAGGATTTGTCAAATAAAACATGATGTATTCAGCACAAATGAGCTACAAATAAAGGACTATTTAGTCACATATCTAAGATACATTGCTAAGTAAAAAACAGGCTTAAATACCCTCTGTATAATCTCTACTTTGAAAAAAATAGTTATATATATTGTATATATGCACATTTTACTTTCTTTTTCTTTTCTTTTTTTTTTTTGAGACGGGGTCTCATTCTGTGGCCCAGGCTAGACTGCAGTGGCACAATCTCGGCTCACTGCAACCTCCGCCTCCCAGTTCAAGTGATCCTCCTGTGTCAGCTTCCCTAATAGCTGGGATTACAGGTGGCTGCCACCACACCCGGCTAATTTTTTGTTTTTAGTAGAGATGGGGTTTCACCATGTTGGCCAGGCTGGTCTCAAACTCCCAACCTCAGGTGATCCACCCACCTCGGCCTCCCAAAGGGCTGGGTGATTACCGGTGTGAGCCACCGCGCCCAGCCACAGTTTACTTTCAAATATAACCAGATAAAAGAATATTCAATGAGTAAAATAAGCTACTTTATGTATACGCGTTCCACCACAATCCTAATATTCCTTAATCTCTCTAAGACAGGACACCAGTCCCGATATTTTTCCACTAATTCTGACCTTAGTTCTAACCAATAGCTTCATATACATCAACAGTATATTTAGATTTAGTGGTCTCTATATGACAGTTCCTAAAATAGCTGTGAATTTCCTACATATTCTTCTCAATCCATTTCCTACTGCAAAAAGGCAGACACAAAAATTTCTGAGAAATGACAGATGATCTCCAAACACCCTGCTCTATCTTTGCTCTCTGCATAGACCAGGGACAACCCTACATACCCAAGGGCAAGTCAATAGCATAATCATTCAATTTCTCAGGAGAACTGCATCACAGGTCATATTACGTTAAAAGAAAGTGCACGAACAGACCTAATACATTTGTCATCAAAGTGACACATAAGGACCTGTAAGTTAGCAATACGCACATTTCCATCCCATTCAGTCAACTATGAAAAGGCTTTAAAAGCAGTATAAATATCTGAATTTTAGTTTATTTATAGCAATGGTGCTCAGCTCTGGCTGTACCCTGGAATCACCTGGAAGTGCTCGGGCTGAATTTCTCATCAACTGCATCCTGGTCTCATGGATGTGGCCAGCATCCGTAGTTTTTTAAAGTTTCCCAGGTGATCGCAATTTGCTGTCGAGGTTGAGGACCACTGACATGAAGCATATTTTTCAAACAACAGATAATGAATGTTCCATGGGAGTGAGTACTCAAATCAGTGGTTGGGGTTGGCAATTCCCTCCCTCCCTCCCTCCCTTTCTTTCTTTCTTCCTTCCTTCCTTTCTTTATCTTTCAGATGGAATCTCACTCTGTTGCCCAGGCTGGAATGCAGTGGCAAGATCTCGGCTCACCACAACCTCCACCCCCCAGGTTCAAGCGATTCTCCTGCCTCAGCCTCCTGAGTAGCTGGGACCAGAGGTGCATGCCACCATGCCCAGCTAATTTTTTGCATTTTTAGTGGAGACAGGGCTTCACCGTGATAGCCAGGATGGTCTCGATTTCCTGACCTCACGATCTGCCCACCTCGGCCTCCCAAAGTGCTGGGATTACAGGCATGAGCCACCGTGCCCAGCCTCTTTCTTTTTTGAGATGGAGTCTTGCTCTGTCACCCAGGCTGGAGTGCAGTGGCATGATCTTGGCTCAATGCAACCTCCACCTCCTGGGTTCAAGCCATTCTCCTGTCTCAGACTCCCCAGTAGCTGGGATTACAGGCGTGTATCACCACGCCCAGCTAATTTTTGTATTTTTAGTAGAGACGGGGTTTCACCATGTTGGCCAGGCTGGTCTCCAACTCCTGACCTCGTGATCTGCCCACCTCGGCCTCCCAAAGCACTGGGATTACAGGCGTGAGCCACCGTGCCCGGACGATGGCAATTTCTTAATTTGAAAAAATGGAATGAAGTAGACTAGACTAGGCTGGAAGAAATTATCATAATGTACTGCTCCTTATGCAGATAAACATTGTCTCAAGAAATTTTTCAGTTAAAAATATGTAATTCTTGGCAATACTACCCAAACTGATCTTCAGATTCAATGCACTCACTCTCAAAATCCCATCTGCCTTTTTGGCAAAAATTGACAAGCCGATCCTGAAATTCTTATGGAAATACACAGGACCCAGAATAGTCAAAACAATCTTGAAAAACAACAAAATTGGAGGACTCCCACTACCCCATTTCAAAAGTAATATGAAGCTATACTAATTAAGACAGTGTGGTATAAGTACATACAAAGATACTAGGATAAGGGTAGCCATATAGATTAACAGAATACAATTGAGAATCCAGAAATAAACCTAAATATGTGATTTTCAAAAAAGGGCATCAGGACAACGTAATGGGGGGTAGAGTCATCCTTTAAACAAATGGTGATGAGACAACCGAAAGTCCAAATGTGTGGCCAGGCACGGTGGCTCACACCTGTAATCCCAGCACTTTGGGAGGCCGAGGCAGGCAGATCACCTGAGGTCGGGAATTCGAGACCAATCTGATCAACATGGAGAAACCCTGTCTCTACTAAAAATACAAAATTAGCCGGGCATGGTAGCACACGCCTGTAATCCCAGCTACTCGGGAGGCTGAGGCAGGAGAATCGCTTGAACCCAGGAGGCAGAGGTTGTAGTGAGTCAAAATCGCGCCATTGCACTCCAGCCTGGGCAACGAGAGTGAAACTCCATCTCAAAAAAAAGAAAAAGTCCACATGTAAAACAATGAAGGTGGACCCCTACCTCAAACATTAAAATCGATCAGAGACCCAACTTTAAGAGCTAAAACTATAAAATTCTTAGAAGAAAACTGAGAGGGGGTAAATCTTTATGACCTTGGGTTAGGCAGTGGTTTCTAAGATATGACACCAAAATCACAAGCAAAAAAAGAAAAACAGACACATAGAGACTTTAACAAAAATTAAAACTTTCTTAACTGCAAAAGACACAAGCAGGCTGGGCGCAGTGGCTCACGCCTGTAATCCCAGCACTTCGGGAGGCCAAGGCGGGCAGATCACAAGGTGAGGAGATCGAGACCATCCTGGCCAACACGGTGAAACCCCGTCTCTACTAAAAATACAAAAATTTAGCCGGGCGTTGTGGCAGGTGCCTGTAGTCCCAGCTACTTGGGAGGCTGAGGCAGGAGAATGGTGTGAACCCGGGCAGCGGAGTTTGCAGTGAGCCGAGACCGCGCCACTGCACTCCAGCCTGGGTGACAAAGCAAGACTCCGTCTTTAAAAAAAAAAAAAAAAAAAAGACACAAGCAAGGCCAGGTTCGGCTCACACCTGTAATCCCAGCACTTTGGGAGGCCAAGGTGGGCAGATCACCTGAGGTCGGGAGTTCGAGACCAGCCTGACCAACATGGAGAAACCCCATCTCTACTAAAAATACAAAATTAGCCAGGCGTGGTGGTGCATGCCTGTAATCCCTGCTATTCGGGAGGCTGAGGCAGGAGAATTGCTTGAACCCGGGAGGCGGAGGTTGCAGTGAGCCAAGATCGCGCCATTGCACTCCAGCCTGGGCAACAAGAGTAAAACTGTGTCTAAAAGAAAAAAAAAAAGACACAGCAAGAAAGTGAAAAAGAATCTTACAGAAAGAGGAAAAAATATTTGCAAATTACATACCAGATAAAGGACTCGTGCAGAATATATTAAGGACTCTTACGACTCAACAATATAAAGACAAGTAACCTAATTAAATGGGCAAAGAAAGCTGGATGACCCAGCACATGCCTCTAGTCCAGCTACTCAGGAGCCTGAGGCAGGAGTATCTCTTGGAATCTGAGGCTGCAGTGAGCTATGATCACTCTTATTAAGAAGCCACTGCACTCCAGACTGGGCAACATAGCAAGACCCAGTCTCGGCCGGGTGCAGTGGCTCACGCCTGTAATCCCAGCACTTTGGGAGGCCGAGGCGGGTGGATCACAAGGTCAGGAGATCGAGACCATCCTGGCTAACACAGTGAAACCCCATCTCTACTAAAAATACAAAAAATTAGCCGGGCATGGTGGTGGGCGCCTGTAGTCCCAGCTATTTGGAGGCTGACGCAGGAGAATGGCATGAACCTGGCAGGCGGAGCTTGCAGTGAGCCGAGATTGCACCACTGCACTCCAGCCTGGGCAACAGAGCAAGACTCTGTCTCAAAAGAAAAAAAAAAGACCCGGTCTCAAATATAAACAAAAAAATGAGCCAAGAATTTGAATAGACATCACTGCAAAGACAGCATACAAATGGCCAACAAGCACATGAAAAGGAGTTCAACATCATCAGTCACTAGGGAAATGCAAACCAAAACCACTGCACACCCATTAGGATGGCTATAATCAAAAAAAGCAGCAATAACAGTTGTCAGCAAGGACACAGAGAAATTGGAACCCTCATATAATTCTGGAGAACCTACTTTGTAAAATGGTTTGGCAGCTCCTCAAAATGTTAAACATAGAATCGGCCAGGCATGGTGGCTCACGCCTGTAATCCCAGCACTTTGGGAGGCCAATGCGGGCGGATCATGAGGTCAAGAGATCGAGACCGTCCTGGCCAACACGGTGAAACCCTGTCCCTACTAAAAATACAAAAATTAGCTGGGCGTGGTGGCACGTGCCTGTAGTTCCGGCTACTTGGGAGGCTGAGGCAGGAGAATCACTTGATCCCGGGACGTGGAGGTTACAGTGAGCTGAGATGGCGCCACTGCACTCCAGCCTGGTGACAGAGCAAGACTCCGTCTCCAAAAAAAAAAAAAAAAAAAGTTAAACATGGAATTACCATATGATCCAGTAATTCCACTTCTATGTATCTACCAACAAAAGTAAAAAGATGATCACACAAAAACTTGTATTCAAATGTTCATAACAGCATTATTTATAACAGGCAAATGTGAAAATAACCCAAATGTCCATCAACTAATTAATGGATAAACAAAATGTGGTATATCCATACAATGGATTATTCAGCAATAAAGTGGAGGTACTGACACATGCTGTAACATGCATAAACCTTGAAAACATTATGCTAAGTGAAAAAGCCTATCACAAAAAACCACATTTTTTTTTTTTTTTGAGACAGGGTCTCGCTCTATTGCCCAGGCTGGAGTGCAGTAGCATGATCTCGGCTCACTGCAACCTCCACCACTCGGGTTCAAGCAATACCCCCACCTCAGCCTGCCTAGTAGCTGGGACTACAGGTGCGCGCCACCATGCCCAGCTAATTTTTGTATTCTTAGTAGACGCAGGGTTTCACCATGTTGGTCAGGCTGGTCTTGAACTCCTGAGCTCAGGTGATCCCCCCACCTTGGCTTCCCAAAGTGCTGGGATTACAGGCATGAGCCACTGTGCCTGGCCAAAACCACATATTGTATGATACCATTTATATGTCCAGAAGAGAACATCTATAGAAACAGACTGCGGATTAGTGTTGCCAGAGGCTGGGTGAAAAGGGGAGAAGGGAGAGTAACCACTAATGACAGCCAGATGGTAGTGGTTATGAAACTCAGTGAACATGCTACCAACTACTGAAGCATATCCTTTAAACAACTGAATTTTATGTAAATTATCTCAATGAAGCTTCCTTATGTGTTATTCTGGATGTAGGGAATCCCTCTCCCGCCATGCCCACAGAATCTCGTCTGGTTTCTTTTCCATAGGATAGTATGAATAATTAACCTTTCTAAATCAAAGGCCTTACTTAAAGGTCTATATCAATTTAGGGCATCATAACCAAAATTTTTATCATGAAATCCGCATAGAAAATTTCAGAGTACACGGCCTAAAAGGTTATCTGGCTGGATGCAGTGGCTCATGCCTATAATCCCAGCAGAGGCGGGGGCAGGAGGATGGTTTGAACCCAGGAGTTCCAGACTAGCCTGGGCAACATAGAGAGACCCCTTTCGCCACAAAAAGAAAAAACAAAGGTTATGTGGTGTGGTATGAAACCTTTTTATTTTTTTGCCCAAGCTGGAGTGCAGTGGCACGATCTCGGCTCACTACAACCTCCGCCTCCTGGATTCAAGCAATTCTCCTGCCTCAGCCTCCTGAGTAGCTGGGATTACAGCTGCCTGCCACCATGTCCGACTAATTTTTGTATTTTTAGTAGAGATAGGGTTTCACCATGTTGGCTAAACTGTTCTTGAACTCCTGGCCTCAAGTGCTCAATCCACCTCAGCCTCCCAAAGTGCTGGGATTACAGGCATGAGTCACCGCGCCTGGCCTTGAAACTTTTGTCTGAGATACATACATACACACATACACACACACACACACACACACACACACACACACACACACAGAGATGAATATAAATAGAGAGAAGTGGGTCAGTCAAAACAAAAAGTCTGGAAAATATATTTTAGCAGTTGACCGTATTCAAGAAATAAAACAGTAAGTGTGAGATCTCAGAGTCAAAAAGAGAAATCAAAAAAAAAAAGCTGAAGTCACTTTAAAGCATCATTGTAAGCAATGGAACTAAACACCAGAAAAAGTATATTTGACCCTGGTATCTACTTTGGTAAGTCAAGTAATAAGCTTCCCTCCTCCATCCACCTCTCAGGGTTCAGAGGAGCTTCCTACTCCCACTAAATTCAGGCCCCTTCTGGTGAAGTCTACTGTAGATCACATGTGGAGCTCCGCAGGGAAGGGTGTACCATCACTGGAAATGGGGACTGCAGGGCTGCAGGTGGGCAGCGTGGACATGCAGGCCCCAAACTCACACTAGGGGTCCAGAAGCAAGTGCAAAAAGAACTCAAACAGAAGCCAAGGGTCAACTGGAGGAAAGAAAGGAGAAGGAACAAAATCGATATTGCTAACTTATTCAGTTTATCTTTGAGTGGATGAAAGAATAAAGGAAGAGGAACAAAAACCCATCAAACTTCTCTGAGGGAGACAACATTTTCAAACACTGCAGGTCAGGATCTTTGACACAGAAGATGCGAGCAGCTGCACAATCCAACAGCCGGGGCTAAAACAGAAGCCCTGGGGACAAACCTGAAGAACGATCACTCGTGAAACTCCTCGCAGCAAGAAATCTGAGGTCATCTTCAAATCAGCAGGGAAACAAAAATTTAGAGAATTATCACTCTCAGGGAGAGACTACCAAGAATATCTGTGAGGATTGCAGGGTCAATGTCAAGATGCTGGGCTTTGTTCGCTAAAAAAAACACTATGTGGCCGGGCGCGGTGGCTCACGCCTATAATCTCAGCACTTTGGAAGGCCGAGGTGGGCAGATCACGAGGTCAGGAGATTGAGACCATCCTGGCTAACACGGTGAAACCCCGTCTCTACTAAAAATACAAAAAATTAGCCGGGCGTGGTAGCGGGCGCCTGTAGTCCCAGCTACTCGGGAGGCTGAGGCAGGAGAATGGCGTGAACTCTGGAGGCGGAGCTTGCAGTGAGCCGATCACGCCACTGTGCTCCAGCCTGGGCGACAGAGCAGGACTCCATCTCAAAAAAAAAAAACTATGTATGAGACTGTAATCTGTAATTAGGACACTTCTTGAATACCACTAAAGAATATTTACAATATTGCAATTGAGTAAAAATTGAAAATAAAACCTATGACAGTTAAACCTATTCTGCAAGTACTCCACGATGCATTAAAAAAAAAAAAAAAAAGTTGGCCATGCGTGATGGTTCACGCCTGTAATCTCAGCACTTTGGGAGGCCAAGGCAGACGGATCACTCAAGGTCAGCAGTTCAAAACAAGCCTGGCCAACATGGCGAAACCCTGTCTCTACTAAAAATACAAAAAAAATTAGCCAGGCCTGGTGGTGGGCACCTGTAATCCCAGCTACTCAGGAGGCTGAGGCAGGAGAATTGCTTGAACCAGGGAGGCGGAGGTTGCAGTGAGCCAAGATCACACCATTGTACTCCAGCTTGGGCAACAAGAGCAAAACTCCACCTCAAAAACAAAAAGTAGCTGACCGTGTGTGGTGGCTCACGCCTGTAATCCCTGCACTTTGGGAAACCGAGGGGGGGCCAATCACCTGAGGTCAGGAGTTCGAGATCAGCCTGGCCAACATGGTGAAACCCTGTCTCTATTAAAAATACAAAAATTGGCTGGACACAGTGGCTCACACCTGTAATCCCAGCACTTTGGGGGGTTGAGGCAGGTGGATCATGAGGTCAAGAGTTAGAGACCAGCCTGGCCAACATAGTGAAACCCTGTCTCTATTAGAAATACAAAAATTTGCCAGGCATGGTGGCACACACCTGTAGTCCCGGCTACTCGGGAGGCTGAGGCAGGAGAATCACTTGAACCCAGGAGATGGAGGTTGTGGTGAGCTGAGATCGCGCCCCTGCACTCCAGCCTAGCGATAGAGAGAGACTTCGTCTCAAAAAAAAAAAAAGAAAGAAAGAAAAAAAAAATTAGCCAGGTGTTCAGGCACCTGTAATCCCAGCTACTAGGGAGGCTGAGACAGGAGAAGCGCTTGAACCTGGAGGTGGAAGTTGCAGTGAGCCAAGATTGCGCCATTGCACTCCAGCTGAGCAGCAAGAGTGAGACTCTGTCAAGGAAAGGGAAAGGGAAAGGGAAAAGGAAAAGAAATCGCTAACTAGGCCGGGCGCGGTGGCTCACATTTGTAATCCCAGCACTTTGGGAGGCCGAGGCGGGTGGATCACAAGGTCAGGAGGGAGTTCGAGACCAGCCTGACCAATGTGGTGAAACCCCATCTCTACTAAAAATACAAAAATTAGCCGGGCATGGTGGTGGGTGCCTGTAGTCCCAGCTACTCAGGAGGCTGAGGCAGGAGAATCACTTGAACCTGGGAGGCAGAGCTTGCAATGAGCCGAGATCGCTGCTGCACTCCAGCCTGGGTGACAGAGCGAGACCCCGTCTCAAAAAAAAAAAAAAGAAAAAGAAATAGCTAACTATAGGAAGGAGGAAAAAAAAAGACAAAATGATCATTTGCAGCTACAAGTTAAGTATTCCTTGTATAAAATGCTTGGGACCAGAAGTGTTTCAAATTTTGTATCTTTTCTGATTTTGGAATATTTGCATATATATATAGTGAGATATCTTGAGAATGGGACCGAAGTCTGAACACAAAATTCATTTATGTTTCATATACGCCTTAGACACATAGCCTGAAGGTAATTCTACTCAATATTTTAAATAATTTTGTGTATAATGGCCAGGTGCAACGGCTCACACCTGTAATCCTGGCACTTTGGAAGGCCAAAGCAGGAAGATCGCTTGAGCCTAGGAGATTAAGGCTGCAGTGAGCCATGATCTTGCCACTATACTTCAGCCTGAGTGACAGAGCAAGATCCCTTAAAAAAAAAAAAATTTGCATATGAAATAAAGTTTTGACTGCAACCCATGACATGAGGTCAGGTGCGGAATTTTCCACTCGTGGCATCCTGTCAGTGCTCAAAAGTTTCCCATTTTAGATTTGGGGATTAGAAATGCTCAATGTGTATTATGATTACCTATCTAAGAAACTCAAGAGAATCTACTGAAAAATAAGAACAACAGAGTTTGGTTAAGTAGCATAGCAGACACGGTGCTATTACATTTTCCTCACGGACACACCAAAGGACTCCACTTCCCAGCCCCCTTGCACCTAAAATACAGCCAACAGACCGCAGAAGAAATACTACTACTTCCAAGCTTGGCCCATGAAAAAAACTTCCATGCACAAAATTACACGGCAAACTTAAGGTCACATCTTCTTGTCAGTTGTGACAAAAATGGAAGGAGCCCAGATCCCCAAGTCACCACTTAGAAAAGAACCATCTAAAAAAGTGTGAGCAAGAAATAAATGTTTTCTTTGTCAGGCCACAGATTTTAACTAGCATTACCTACCCTGACTAATACAGGTTATAAAACATACAGACTGGCCAGGTGCAGTGGCTCATCCCTGTAATCCCAGCACTTCAGGAGACCAAGGCAGAGGATTACTTGAGGCTGGGAGCTGGAGGCCAGCCTGGGCAACACAGCAAGATTCCATCTCTAGCTTATTTTTTATTTTATTTTATGGTTTTTTTTGAGACAGAGTCTCACTCAGTGGCCTGGGCTGAAATGCAGTGGCGCGATCTCGACTCACTGCAACCTCCGTTTCCTGGGTTCAATTGATTCCCATGCTACTCAGCCTCCTGAGTGGCAGGGACTACAGGCATGCACCACCACAACCAGCTAATTTTTTTTTTTTTTAATAGAGTGGGGGTTTCACCATGTTGGCCAGGCTGGTCTTGAACTCCTGGCCTCAGGTGATCCACCCACCTCGGCCTCCCAAAGTGCTGGGATTTCAGGCGTGAGCCACTGCCCCGGCCTCC
Organism: Homo sapiens; assembly: GCF_000001405.40. Lineage (NCBI taxonomy): Eukaryota > Metazoa > Chordata > Mammalia > Primates > Hominidae > Homo > Homo sapiens. Next base: position 4,990,675 of record NC_000020.11, read on the forward strand.
ATCTCTTATCTTATTATAAAAACAAGGCCGGGCACAGTGGCTCACGCCTGTAATTCCCAGCACTGTTGGAGGCCAAGGCAGGTGGATCGCTAGAGGTCAAGAGTTCAAGACCAGCCTGACCAACATGGTGAAACCCTGTCTTTACTAAAAACACAAAAGTGGCCAGGCATGGTGGAACAGGACTGTAATTCTACATCGGAGGCTGAGGCAAGAGAATCACCTGGGAGAAGGAGGTTGCAGTGAGCTGAGATCGCACCACTGACGCCAGCCTGGGCAACAAGAGCAAAACTCCATCTCAAAAAAAAAAAAAAAAAAAACAACCCACAGCATACAAACTGCAAGCAGTATACTTGCTTTATACCTGCTCTATACCAGTTAGTAATAGCGGGTGGGAGGGAGGTGTGAGGGGAGATAATCGCATTCTAAATACCAAATATTTTCTTTGTTTTTGAGCAGGGTGTCTCCCTCTATTGCCCAGGCTGGAGTGCGGTGGCACCATCACAACTCACTGCAGCCTTGAACTCCTGGGCTTGAGTTCTCTTCCCACAATCAGCCTCCCTAGTCAGTGGGACCACAGGTATGCACACCACCACGCCAGGCCACTTTAAAAATTTTTGCAGACATGGGGTCTCACTACGTTTCCCAAACTGGTCTTAACCTCCTGACCTCAAGCAATCTTCCCATGTCGGCTTCCCAAAGTACTGGGATTACAGGCATAAATCACATGTCCAGTCCAGCAAATACTTTAAAATAAAGAATAAGTAATCAGCCAGGCATGGTGGCTCATGCCTCTAATCCCAGCACTTTGGGAGGCCGAGGCAGGTGGATCACAAGGTCAGCAGTTCAAGACCAGCCTGACCAATACGGTGAAACCCCATCTCTACTAAAAATACAAAAATTAGCTGGGTGTAGTGGTGCACACCTGTAATCCCAGCTACTCAGGAGGCCGAGGCAGGAGAATTGCTTGAATCCAGGAGGCGGAGGTTGCAGTGAGCTGAGATCACACCACTGCACTCCAGCCTGGGTGACAGAGAGAGACTCCGTTTCACACACACACACACACACACACACACACACACACACACACACAAAAGTAATCTATAGACCACATATTAGGAAAAATCTAGAGACACTGACTTTTTCTGTTCATACACAGAACAAGTCAATATTATAAAGATGACAAGTCTCCCCAAATTAACTTATGCATTTAATGAAATTTCCCATTAACAGTATTTTGACAGCCTGGCCAACATGGTGAAACTCTGTCTCTACTAAGAATACAAAAATTAGCCAGGCGTGGTGGCACATGCCTGTAATCCCAGCTACTCGGGAGGCTGAGGCAGGAGAATCACTTGAACCTGGGAGGCAGAGGTTGCAGTGAGCCGAGATCGCGCCATTACACTCAAGCCTGGGGGACAGAGTGAGACTCCATCTCAAGATGGAGGGAGTATTTTGAAACCCTAAATTGAAAAACACTGGAGTAAAAACTGAGCATAGGCACTACCAGATAATAAAGCCTACTATAAAGTGATTTTAATGTCTAAAATAGTAAGGTCATGGCAAAAGAACAGATAAACTGACTAAAACAACAGATCCAAGGATTCAGCATATGATTAAGGTGTTATTTTTTAAGTTAATAAGGATGAATTAATAGTACCCAAAAAATATAAACTAGAGGGGACAAATAATCCTTACTTCATACCATACTCCAAAACAAATATCAGACTAATTATAGCCAATTTTTTTTTAAAGAACTAAGAGAAAACATGAGTGAATACCTATAAAATTTAGGGATAACAAAGCCATGGGAAATAAAAAAAGATTGACAGTTTTTTTTTTTTTTTTTTTTTGGAGACGGAGTTTTTCGCTCTTGTTGCCCAGGTTAGAGTGTAATGAGGCGATCTTGGCTCACTGCAACCTCCACCTCCCGGGTTCGAGTGATTCTCCTCCCTCAGCCTCCCGAGTAGCTGGGATTACAGGCATGTACTACCATGCCGGGCTAATTTTGTATTTTTAGTAGAGACGGGGTTTCTCCATGTTGGTCAGGCTGGTCTGGAACTCCTGACCTCAGGTGATCTGCCCACCTCGGCCTCCCAAAGTGCTGAGATTACAGGCATGAGCCACCGCGCTTGGCCAACAGACTTGAATTTAAGTCAAGGCATAGAAAAAAATATTTGCAAAGTAGGACAAAAAAATGCAAATCTTAACACAGGTTGAGTATTCCTAATTCAAAAATCCAAAATTTGAAAGGATCCAAAATTTGAAAGGCTCCAAAATTCAGTACTTTCTGAGTGCCAACAAGACACTCAAAAGAAAATGCTCAGCCTGGCGCAGTGGCTCATGCCTGTAATCCCAGCACTTTGGGAGGCCGAGGCAGGTGGATCACGAGGTCAGGAGATCGAGCCCATCCTGGCCAACACAGTGAAACCCCGTCTCTACTAAAAACACACACACAAAAAATTAGCCAGGCATGGTAGCGGGCGCCTGCAGTCCCAGCTCCTAGGGAGGCTGAGGCAAGAGAATGGCATGAACCTGGGAGGTGGAGCTTGCAGTGAGCTGAGATCGTGCCACTGCACTCCAGCCTGGGCGCGCCACTGCACCCCAGCCTGGGCGACAAAGCAAGACTCCGTCTCAAAAAAAAAAAAAAAGGAAACGCTCACTGAAGCATTCTGAATTTCAGATTAAAAAATTAGGAATGCTCAACTGGTAAGTATAGTGCAAATATGCCAAAATCCGAAAAAAAAAAAAGAAAAAAAGAAACCCAAAATCCAAAACACTTTCTAGTCATAAGCACTTCGGAGAAGGTATATTCAACCTGTACGTGTTTCTCAAGCAGGTCAAGATCAAAAACAATGTATCTAGTAGCATCAACTTTACTCAAAGAACATGGAAGAAAAATGTTTTATATTAAAACAAGCACTGATGTTTCTGAAACAGAATGAGAAATTCACATTAATTTTAGATAAAACAGAAGAGACTTAAAAGAAGTGTCATGCTTGTTATATTCCAAACACTTTTAAATATGCATACATTCCCCCATATCATGCATCTGTGGAAAAATTTGTGAAGCAATGTCTATAAATATAAATATCAAAAAAGCTCTTGATAAGAAATATATGAACTTGGGCTGGGAACAGTGGCTCACGGCTGTAATCCCAGAACTTTAGGAGGCTTGAGCTCAAGAGTTCGAGACCATCCTGACCAACACAGGAGACCCCCATCTCTAAAAACATAGTGAAACCCTGTCTCTACAAAAAATACAACAATTAGTTGGGTGTAGTGGTACATGCCTGTAGTCCCAGCTACTCAAGAGGCTGAAGTGGGAGGATCTCTTGAGCCCGGGAGGCAGAAGCTGCAAGTGAGCAGAGATCTCACCACTGCACTCCAGCCTGGGTGACAGACCCTGTCTCAAAAAATATAGATACATGAATTCAATAGAAAATTCTCAGCACTGACCACATATACCTTACTGTGAAGCAGGATCACCAAACTTTTTCTGTAAAGGGCCAGAGTTACATGGTCTCTTGAGTGAGCTTGGCTGTGTTGCAATTAAACCTTATTTACAAAACCAGATGCTGGTGATGCCTCCACCAGCAACATCCCTGTCACCTGAGAACTTGTGAGAAATGCACATTTTCGGGGTCCACCCTAGATCTTCAGAATGAGATCCATGTTTGACAAGGAAGGTGTTGTAGTTAGCCCCCAGCTAGGTGATCTGCCTTTGGAGACAGGAAATGATTTTAGCCAGCCCTGGAGAGGAGTCAATAAAGCCAAACCGAATTTGAGGCTGAAATCCCATCTAAAGTAGAATGTATAAGAAATTGTGTTGGCCAGGTGCGGCGGCTCACACCTGTAATCTCAGCACTTTGGGAGGCTGAGGCAGGTGGATCACGAGGTCAGGAGTTCGAGACCAGCCTGAACAATACGGTGAAACCCCGTCTCTACTAAAAATATGAAAATTAGCCAGGCGTAGCTACTCAGGAGGCCGAGGCAGAAGAATCGCTTGAACCCATGAGGCGGAGGTTTCAGTGAGCCGATATCGCACCACTGCACTCCAGCCTGGGCGACAGAGCAAGATTCCGTCCCCAAAAAAAATATGAAAATACAAAAATTAGCCAGGCGCAGTTGCAGTGACCGTAATCCCAACTACTCAGGAGGCTGAGGCAGGAGAATCGCTTGAACCTAGGAGGTGGAGGTTGCAGTGAGCCAAGATCGCACCATTGCACTCTAGCCTGGGCAACAAGAGCAAAACTCTGTCTCAAAAAAAAAAAGAAAAAAGAAAGAAAGAAAGCAATTGTGTTTCCTTCATGAAGACTGAGGACACAGCAGTGCTTTCGGTCTGAAGCAGGGTGGAGAAGACCCTCAGAGTCACAAAGCCAAGAACTCTGAGATGAAATGATGGTCCAAAATGAAAAAGCTTATTCAAATTTAATTGAATGGAGCTGGGGGTATGTATATATTCACTTGAACAAAGGAAAGCCAGTGGGGGGAAAAAATGTGTGAGCGTTGAGGTGGTGGGTAGAAGATTCCTACAGGAACAAACAAGGGAATTGACAGAAAGAATCCAAGCTAGGGTGCATAAAGGCAAACACTGTAGCCAGGAATGAACCACAGGCAAACAAGGCAGGAGCAAGAGGAGACGGTCCTGCTCCCATTCAGCCTCAGCCTCCTCCCAGTGCACCCTTTACTCCACCCCAAAATTTTCTAAAATGCACATCTGAACAAGTCACTCCCCTTCTGGGAATCTCCCCGTGCCTTTCCAGACAAAGATTCAAGCCCCATAATACAGTATCAAAGGACCTCTCCACCTGACCCCCATCACATCCTCAGCATCCTTCCAACTGTCCTAACTCAGTTACCCTCTCCCAGTCACATGCCTCTCCTGCTCCACCCTTTGCTCACACTGATCCCTCGATCTGGAATGTCATTCCCAACTTCTGTAGCCTAACCCTACTTTCTATCCCAAGTCCCCAAAAGTCATCCTGGAACACAGCATGATTAGAGTCTAACTTCGAGCTTGGCAACTGACCGGCCTAGGGTCAAATCCTGACTCTACTTGTCAGCGCTAAGACCCTAGGCAAGAAGCTGCCCTCCTGCCACACCTCAGCATCCTCAGCTGTAGGATGAAAAGCGTTAATACCCAGCCCACAGGGCTGCAGAGACTGATCAACGTGAAAGAACACAGGAGTGCTGGGCAGAGCTCCCTGGCACTCAACTGACACTGGCTTCTCTGCCCTCTTCTATACTAACGAGAACTTAGAAACCCTGAGTTTCAGATGAGAGCTGGGAATAGTGTTCTACAGTGGTTTAATGGAACAGAATTCAAGACTCAGGAATTAACTTACAGAAGTTACCCAAGACTTCATCAATAAATGAAGGACCAGAAGCCACCTTGCCTGCCAGTTGCTAGGACTAGCAATAATAACCTAAAGTGCCCAATGCATAATCAATACCTATGGGCACCATCACTGTTTCCTTGGCCCTATCACATGGGGCTCTCTTGTCTTTCTAGGGTCCCTTCTATTGCTTGGAGAGGGTCCAACAGAGAAGCGCACCTTATCAAACTGCACTTCCATTCAACTTAGAAGATAGAGGGATTCATCTCTGTAAGAGTTACACACATAGATGGATGACCTCCACCAGGTGCTCAATGAGATGATGCCTTTGGGAAGGAAGCCCGAGCCATCAGCTGCTTTGAGCAAAACTCATGAGTGGGCAAAACTCATGAGTGGGCCAGGCACGGTGGCTCATGCCTGTAATCCCAGCACTTTGGGAGGCCAAGGTGGGCGGATCACGAGGTCAGGAGTTTGAGACCAGGCTGGCCAACATGGTGAAACACCATCTCTACTAAAAATACAAAAATTAGCCGGGTACAGTGGTATGCACCCATAATCCCAGCTACTTGGGAGGCTGAGGCAGGAGAATCCCTTGAACCCGGGAGGCAGAAGTTGCAATGAGCCGAGGTCACACCACTGCACTCCAGCCTAGGTGACAGAGCAAGATTCCATCTCAAAAAAAAAAAAAAAAAAAAAAAACAACAACTCATGAGTGAAGATTTTCCTGATCACTGACCAGAGAAAACCACTCTCCTTTAAGGATGGAATTTCCATAGAGGGCCTTAGAGACACCTAGATCTGAGGTCACAGACTTGGCTGAGGTCACCTGAGGTCAAAGTCGAAAATTGGGACAAAGGACAATGAGAAGCTCCCAAGATTTATATTTCCATTGAGGATGACCTTCCCCAAAAATCTCCACCCTTGCTTTTCTGCTGCATTTGGGTATGCTGGGTTGGCATCACAACTTAACATGGCCTAAACCAGCTCCTCCAGCATCTCAGTTAATGGCCTCTTTCTTTCTAGGTGCTAAGACCAGAACCTCGGAGTCCTCCTCAGTTTTCTTTCTGGTTCATCAGCAAATCTCAACCTCACCTTGAAATCCCACTAGTCTCCCCTCAGCCCTGCATTCTGGCTGGTCTCCTTGCTGTCCTGCCTTCAATCTGTCTCACACAGCAACGCCTAGAGTGTGCTTGCTAAAAGCTAGATCAGTCCACCTCCCTTCTTTACTCCAAAACCCTCCAATGGCTTCTACCACCCTCAAGGTAAAATCTACCAGCCTTACAGTGGTCCGCATGGCCTTACATGATCTGACCCCCATGGTTTCTCTGACCTCAAGACCAAATTCTCCCCTCCTCCTGCCTCAGGGCCTTTGTATCTGCTGTTTCCTCCCCTCAGAATGATCCTTCTCCCAGATCTCCACATGCCTCACTCCCTACACATCTTTAGTTAAAAATGACTCAAGCCCTCTGCTATGAACTCAACTGTATCCCCCACCACCACCGAAAGAATTCATTATATTGAAGCCCTACCCCCACAATGTGGCTGTATTTAGAGATAGAGCCTTTAGGAGGTAACCAAGTTTAAATGAGTTCTTAAGGATGGGGCCCTGATCCAATAGGAAAACTTTATTTTTTTAAACAAAGTAGCTTTGTCACCCAGGCTGGTGTGCAGTGGCACAATCATGGCTCACTGCAGCCTCAACCTCTTGGGCTCAAGCAATCCTCCCACCTCAGCCTCCTGAGTAGCTGGGACTACAGGCACTACTACCACGTCCAGCGAATTTTTTATTTTATTTTATTTTATTTTGTAGAGACAGAGTCTTATTATGTTGCCTAGACTGGTCTCAAGTGATCCTCCTGCCTCAGCCTCCTGAAGTGCTGGGATTACAGGTGTGACCAACAGTGCTTGAACAGAAAGATAAATGGCACCAAGAAAAGGCCATGTGAGGACTCATCAAGAGGATGGCCACCTACAAGCCAGGAAGAAAGCCCTCACCAGAAACTAAAGAGGCCAGAACCTTGACCTTGGACTTCCCAGACTCCAGAATTATACGAAACAAATTTCCGTTGTTTAAGCCACCCACACTGTGCTATTTTTGTTATGGCAGTGTTAGCAGACTCATATACCTTCCTCCCTGTCTACCCTTCCAAAAATATCAACTCCCATCCCCACACTTAATCCCCCGAGCCTTGTCAGATTCCTCTTCACAGAACCAGATCTCATTGTCCACATCCCTACAGTGTGGGCTCCATGTGGGCTGGGAATCTCCCTGCAGCATCCCAAGCACCAAGAATATTACCCAGCACAGATCAGGCACTCAATGTAATAAATGTATGAAAGGCCTATGAAAGGTGCAAGCTGAAAGCAGACCTCAATTACAGGAGAGCCAAGAACCTAGAACCTGTGACGAAATAACAGGTTCAAAATAGCAAAGCCACAGAGAAAATGAGAAGAACGGCATAGCGCACAAAGGGCTCGTTTCAACCTAGAGGCTGCAATGCACAGCTTAACCTGGAGGAGGATGGTTCCCTACAGAAAGAATAAAAGCAAGCCCAGAGAACAACTGGAGGAATAGCAGGGCATGAAAATGAATTAATGAGGTGAGGTTACTGGGCACTGGGAACCAACAGACTGGTGTGTGAGAGTTTTATGGGCAAGGCCAGGAAACGGTTCAGGAAGGACTGTAAGATGTTTAAATTTAAAAAGCCTAAGAGGATTAAATATAAATACGTTTTTAAAAAGCTTCAATTTACATGTACAAAGCACCATATAATTTCAAATCATTACTGTTGATCTTTTTTTTTTTTTTTTTAGGAGACAGTCTCACTCTGTCACCCAGGCTGGAGTGCAGTGGCACGATCTCGACTCACTGCAAACTCCACCTCCCAGGTTCAAGCGATTCTCCTGCCTCAGCCTCCTGAGTAGCCGGAAATACAGGCATGCGCCACCATGCCCGGCTAACTTTTGTATTTTTAGTAGAGACGAGGTTTCACCATGGTGGCCAGGCTGCTCTCGAACTCCTGAGCTCAAGCGACCTGCCCGCCTCAGCCTCCCAAAGTGCTGCGATTACAGGCATGAGCCACCATGCCCAGCCCCGGCCTACTGCTTTTAATTACCTTAACCAAAATGGGAAAATTCCTCAAGCTACCAGTGGTACCAGAATATAGGTCCCCAAATAGATCCCTGGTTTGTCTTTAGAGACACTGAAGAGGACAACAATAGCCAATTCGGGATTTCAAACACCCCACAAACTAGACCTTAGGCTCTGTGAGGGCAAAAGACACAGTTTATTCAACAACGATCTGTTCAACAGAACCTGGTCACCAAGTGGATGGATGGATGGGCAGACACAGATGGACAGACTACTCAGTGGGTGGCTACATGTGCTTGCCTGCCCCGGGACACATGACTCACTTCTGCAATGCTACATAGACTAGAGTTTGCTCCATCAATGAGATAGATAGTATGGCATGAAACCTAGCAAAACCATCTACATTTTTCTAGCCAGGTACTGGTTTTTTTTAAGCTGGCCGCCATACTCAGCTATTTTTTTTTTTTTTTTATAGAAACAGGAGTCTTGCTGGGTTGCCTAGGCTGGTCTTGAACTCTTGGCCTCAAACAATCCTCCCACCTCAGCCTCCCAAAGTGCTGGGATTACAGGTGTGAACCACAACACCCGGCCCAGGTACTTCAATAGGCATTTTTTAAACATGTCAACAGATGTTTAAACTTAATTGACTTAATTGACCGTGCCACAGTCAGAGAATACAACTGCCAGACAACCATCTAAAATACTGTCAACATAAAAAGTTCCTGAAATACCTATTGTCTTAAAAAATCACCCTCCACTCTAAGCAAAGAAACCAAAAGAGAAATGCCTTGGTATTAAAAGAAAGAAGCTGGTTGCCATTTTGGCAAAGGAAATAGCCTAGAAAGCAGATACCTCATGCTCAGGATGTCACATGGAACAGGCTGGACACACCTGCTGCCTCCCTTTAACTAGCAGGTGTGCCATGAGAGCTTACACTGGGCACACCCACTGGTGCCCAAAAGCCATTAAATTGGGGATGAATGAAAAGAGAACAGTAGTAATACGTTCATAAGTGACCCTGATAGAGCCAACCATAACCCAGCACAGAATTCTGATTTTTTGAGCTGAAAAGGGCCCTTTATACATCTCACCAGGTTCAAACACCTTCAGGGGAGGCAGGCAACGTCACCTGCAACGGTGAAAAAGGCAGGTGTAGACAACCAGAAACGGTGAGGCCCAAACCCAACAGCATTCAAATACAAAAGCATAAAATAAAAATGCTCCAGCCACCCCAATTCCAGCCTTTTGCTTCAGAGAGGACGAAGCCGGCTGAGGGAGGTCACATGGCCAATTAGTGACAGCTCAAACCAGACTGCCTCCGGACTCCCAGTCCCATGTCCTCGCACATCCCGGGGCCTTCTCTGCGCGCAGATGACCCAATTGTCAGCAGGGACTGCATCTTCCCCCGCCCGTCTCCCAGCACTGCAAGAATAGAAGTAGCACCTACTACAAACGCTGCAGACCCAGAAAGCCCTTATGGGTGACTTTCTTCCACCTGCAGTTGCCCTCATTTACCCTTTGCCCTGACAATCGATAATTTCCCATCAGTCACGCTTAAACCCCCAGCCTGCAGGCCGACATCCTATCAGCCACCCATCCAAGGGGGGGCATCTAGGACCAAACGAAGGAGAAAATCCTGCGCCTTAAAGTAGTCACACTCGAAATGTCATTTTTTCCCCCCGAAAGGTGGCAAGGAGGGGGACTCGCGACCCCCCAGGGAACAGGCCAGAAAGGCCCCGGGGTCGGAGGAGCTGCTTCTAAAATTACTTCGCGCAGTCTTTGTAGAAGGGAAGAAAGCAAGAATGTAAAAGGCACCCTCTTGCCGCCCCTCCTGATGCCCCTGAATTCCAGGGGGCGAGACGATGCCCGTGCGCACCACCGGGGGAGGGGCGAGGGAAGCGACCCCAGGACGCGCGGGCGCAGAGCCCGGGAGGAGGCGGCGGCAGCCAGTGGGGTTCTGGGGGCGCCCCATTTGCCTCCCCGCTGCGCGGCCTGAGGGCCCGAGCGCGCTGTGGCTCCCGTGGCGGGAAGGGGTGGGTACCCCGGGGGCCCGGCCCGGCCGGCAGAACGGCAGGAGCTGAGGGCCGCCGGGCATCTTGGGCCCCGGGGCCAGGGTGGCCGGCGGGCGCGGGGTCCCGGGAGATGGGTCGGGGTGGGGGCGCGCAGGCCGCGCCGCGGGGCCGGTGGGTGACAGCGCGCGGGGGCCGTGCCAGGCCGGCCTCGTGGGCGCGGCGAGCACCTCGCGGCCCCGCCGGCAGGTGCGGCCCGCAGGCCGGGCAGGGGGCGCGGCGGCCGGGCTCTCACCTGGCTGCAGCTCGCGTGGTTCCCGTCCTGCCGCCGCGCCTCGGCGCCGCAGTGCCCGCTGCAGCCTCCGCCTCCGGTCCCCGCGACAGCCGCCTGCAAAATGGCGCCGCGGAGGGGCGGGCCGGGGGCGGGGTGCAGCGGAGCCGCCCGCCCCCGCGCCGGTCTGGGGCCCACCTCCCTCCCCGCCCCCGACCCCTGCCCTCGGGCCTCCCCCCGGGGAGGGGCTGCTCCCTGGCACCCGGCAGCGCTCCCCGGAACATCCCGGGCCTCGCACCCAGCCGTCCCCTTCCCGTTCCTTTCATTTCCCTCCCCTGCGCAGAAAGATCGCCCCCCTTCGCGACCCTTCCCACCAGTCACACCTGTTCCTGGGGACCCACCTGGCAAGCAGAGCGCTGGTCCCTGAGTGTCCTGGTCCAGGTCCCCCCTTTTTACCCCGCCTGCCACCGAGCCCTGTCATTGCTCGAGCGTGATAAGCAAGCAGTTTGTGGTGCATTGGGCTCAGTGGGTTGGATGTTTTAAAACAATTTCACCGCTTCTCCACTTAGGTAGCCAGTTTTTTTAACCTAACTGGAGAAGAAGTCCTTCTTACCTCATGCAGAGATCGTAATACAGACCAAGGCTTTTCAGACGTGAATTCTCTGGGGGTCGTGTTAGGCTAGGGGCGGGTTCACATTCAGTGGCTCTGGGGTGCAGCCCAAAAGTCTGCACTTCTAAATTGTCCCCAGGTGATGCCCCCGGGTGAGGTTCTTGGACCGCTAAGCAGAAAGGCCAAGTGTAAATCCCTGGCCCTCGGTCTTAGAGCTGGGCAGCCTCACTTTGAGGACTTCATTAAGATGCAGATGGCTGGGCCCCACCCCCAGAGTTGCTAAGGCTGGAGGTCTGGCGTGAGGCTCCAGAATCTGCATTTCTGCCAAGTTCCCAGGTGATGCTGATGCTACTGGTCTGGGGACCACACGTATTGAGCCACTGCTGAAATCTGAATACAATTTTTTAAATGTTCTAATAATTAGTACTTTCTTAACACCTTCCATCTTGAAACCGTTGTCATGGTTGCTTTACTAACTGAATGATAATGTACTAGTTCCCGGGCAACTCTTGAGAAACAGAATTGTAGACGGTGTCTGTCTGACCTCACATGGAGAGAAATTGATTTTATAATCAGAATTATTTATGTGTTTTACACAGTTTTGGAAAGTGACATCACACATATTAATGCAGTTGGGGGAGCAGCAACTAAAGGAATTTTATGAAATAGGCAAGTGTGGTCTGTGTCTTGACAATAATGTGTCTTCCCATTTATTTATCTAATAACTGCATTTTTATTTGCTTATATTTAATTTTTTAGAGACAAGGTCTCACTCTGTCACCCAGGCTGGAGTGCAACGGCACAATTAAGGCTGCAGCATCAACCTTCCAGGCTCAAGGGATCCCCCAACCTTGGCCTCCTAAGTAGCTGGGATGACAGGACCACACCACCAGGTCCAGCTAAGCTTGGTTTTATGCGTCACGGGCGCCCATCCTTAACCTTGACAAAATGAACCTTCTAATTTGACTGAGACCTGTCTCAGATATTTGAAGTTCACAATCCCTACTGGGATTCAGTAAGTAGGGAAAAGAAAGTGTTGGATTGCAAAATTCAATAATGTCGAATGTTTTGATCCCCGTTGAAGATGGAGAAAATAAAAAACAAAGATGCGGCCGGGCGCGGTGGCTCAAGCCTGTAATCCGAGCACTTTGGGAGGCCGAGGCAGGCGGATCACGAGGTCAGGAGATCGAGACCATCCTGGCAAACACGGTGAAACCCCGTCTCTACTAAAAATACAAAAAAATTAGCCGGGCGTGGTGGCGGGCGCCTGTAGTCCCAGCTACTCGGGAGGCTGAGGCAGGAGAATGGCGTGAACCCGGGAGGCGGAGCTTGCAGTGAGCCGAGATCGCGCCACCGCACTCCAGCCTGGGCGACAGAGCAAGACTCCGTCTCAAAAACAAAACAAAACAAAACAAAAACAACAACAACAAAAATGCTGTGACCAGCACCCAGAGAAAAACTCACGCATTGCCCCGTAACCATCATTCTACACCAGTGAGAGCATAGAGCGTATTCCAGCCAACCTTTTTTTTTTTTTTAATACGATGTGTTTGCTTAGCAAGGAATGTGGAGTCTTCTGATTAGAAGGGAAGGGAAGTTCCAGGGTCAAGACCCCCTGAGCTTTTAAGTCTATCCCCTCCCCATCGTTATTCCATGAACTGTGGAATCTTCAGTGTCTCCCTCTCCCTCTCTAGGCATTTACCATTTTTCTCTATCCTGAAAAACCTTCCATAGTCCCAGTCTGCCCAGCCGTCCTGCCTGCCTTCCTCTGCCCAACCTCCCCTGCCATCACCCCTCAGGCACTGTCCCTCCCTGTTTTATCAGATGTCATCTGTGACCTTCTAATTGCCAAAACCAATTACAGGTTTACAGTCCTTTTCTTCTTTGATGGCTCTGTAACAGTCCACTGACTTCTCACTCGAAATTCTATTCTTGTGATAATACCACTGTTTCTTGCTAACTATCCATACACCCCCCTTCCCTCTCAGTGATGTGAGTTTCTCAGACTCCAGTCTAGAAATGTTAGTTTCCCCTCATATCTCCTTTCTCCCCTGCCCTCTCCTTCTCTAACCCCCTCTGAAGGTCAGCCATCTCCTCGTGGTTCCCAAACCTCTCTCCCTAGACAAGACAGACATCTTTCTGAACTTGTAGACACATTTCCAATTGTCCCTTGAACAACCTGCCCTGAATATTCTCCAGGAATTGCAAATAATCTCCACTATTGATGCATTATTTTCTCCCATAAACTGGTTTCTTATCTGAGTTCTCTCATTTTGCTACCAGAAACTTCAAACTGGTCTTTGAGTCCTTGCCCCATAGCCTACATGTCCACTCTGTCACCTGTGGTCAAGCTGGGAAGTATTTCTGAAATTCTCTTCTCATCCAACACAGATACTGACCCTCACTGGCTCTTTCTTGGACTGTTAACCATCGAAAAAGTTTCTCTCTGGCCTGTTGGACTCAAGACTAATCTCCTGAAACTATCCTTGTTATCATCCCAGAGCACAGAACTGATAATCTCACACCTTTTCTGAAAATCCTTCAGGGCCTCCCAGTCAAAAGGATAATTGGAGACCAGGCACAGTAGTTCACACCTGTAATCCCAGCATTTTGGGAGACCAAGGCAGGAGGATCGCCTTTGCCAGGAGTTTGAGACCACACTAGGCAACATGGGGAGACCCCATCTCTGAATAAATAAATAAATAAATTAATTAATTAAAAGTTTAGGCCGGGTGCGGTGGCTCACGCCTGTAATCCCAGCACTTTGGGAGGCCGAGGCAGGTGGATCACCTGAGGTCGGGAGTTCGAGACCAGCCTGACCAACATGGAGAAACCCTGTCTCTACTAAAAATACAAAATTAGCCGAGCATGGTGGCGCATGCCTGTAATCCCAGCTACTCAGGAGGCTGAGGCAGGAGAAGCGCTTGAACCCAGGAGGTGGAGGTTGCGGTGAGCCGAGATTGTGCCATTGCACTCCAGCCTGGGCAACAAGAATGAACTCCGTCTCAAAAATAAATAAATAAATAAATAAATAAATAAATAAATAAAAATTTAATAGCTAAATAAAGAAAGAATAAACCTTTCCCAGTGTAGCATTCAAGGCCCTTAATCTCTAGTCTCGGCTTCTTTTTCTTCTTTTTTTTTTGGAGATTTTACTGCTGACAAACTGGCTTTGGTATCAGCAGATAGCTCTGACTTCTGTCTTTCAACGTCTTACAAGGATTAAATGTATATAAAGTGCTTATTCAGTGCATGAATATGTAGGTGTTCGATATCATTATTTTTACATAATTATTTTTACCATTATCATCAATTAAAAAAATACATCAAATTTTTCCTCTTCAGTTGCTTTTCCTTTTATTTTCCATTCATCTTCCTTTCTATTACAGCTCATACAAACAAGGTTTTTTTTTCCTCCTCCCTTAACTTCTCTAAACTAAATCAGCAGAATATATCAAGAACGTTTCATGACCTGGTTAATTTGATTGAAATTTCAGTCATTTCCAGGCTGTGTTATTTTTGAGAGGTAATTGTAGCTTGGGGCTATTCCATCTTCATACAGTACTTTTCAATGTTATTTTCAACATCTCTCTGGAGTCTAGACCTGGGGCAAACGTTTTCTGGAAAGAGCTAGATAATAAATGTTTTAGGTTTTGTGGGCCAAGAGGTAAAATTGATGACATTATATAGGTACAGTACTTATATAATGATAGGGGCCAGGCGCCGTGGCTCACGCTTGTAATCCCAGCACTTTGGGAGGCCGAGATGGGTGGATCACTTGAGGTCAGGAGTTCGAGACCAGCCTGACCAACATGGTGAACCCCGTCTCTACTAAAAATACAAAATTAGCCGGGCATGGTGGCGCATGCCTGTAGTCCCAGCTACTTGGGAGGCTGAGGCAGGAGAATCACTTGAACCTGGGAGGTGGAGGTTGCAGTGAGCTGAGATCGCACCATTGTACTCCAGCCTGGGCAACAAGAGCGAAACTCCGTCTCAAAAAAAAAAGGTGACAGTACTTATATAATGATAGAAAACAAATTTCCACAGATTTCTTATTGATGAAATTCAAAATATAATAATGATTGAGCATAATATATTTTTTTGTTTGTTTTGTTTTGTTTTTTGAGATGGAGTCTCACTCTGTCGCCCAGGCTGGAGTGCAGTGGTGGGATGTTGGCTCACTGCAATCTCCTCCCTCTGAGTTCAAGCGGTTCTCCTGCCTCAGCCTCCCGAGTAGCTGGGATTACAGGCGCCTGCCACCGCACCCAGCTAATTTTTTGTATTTTTAGTAGAGACAGGGTTTCACCATCTTGGCCAGGCTGGTATTGAACTCCTGACCTCTTGATCCATCTGCCTCCGCCTCCCAAAGTGCTAGGAATTACAGGCGTGAGCCACCGTGCCCAGTCATATTGAGCATAATATTTTTATAATACAGGTCTACTAATGAAAATAATAGAATTTGGGGGGTGGGGAAAATAAGATTTTGCTTACTTGGGGTTCAAAGTTAGTCTTTCCTATCATCAAATTGATGGCAAATGTTCATCTGTAAAAGCCATTTTATTTATTTATTTATTTATTTATTTATTTATTTTGAGACGGAGTCTTGCTCTGTTGGCCAGGCTGGAGTGCAGTGGTACAATCTTGGCTCAAGCAATTCTCCTGCCTCAGCCTCCCAAATAGCTGGGATTAGAGGTGTTTGCCACCACCCCCCACTAATTTTTGTAATTTTAGTAGAGACAGGGTTTCACCATGTTGGCCAGGCTGGTCTCAAACTCCTGGCCTCAAGTGAACCACCTGCCTTGGCCTCCCAAAGTGCTGGGATTATAGGAGTGAGCCACCACTCCTGGCCTGCACCATCTCTTGATGTCAGCAGAATTCACACTTTCTACATCTGTCTCATACTAAGACATAACAGATCTAGGGCTGCGTGGCAGGACCAAGACCTGCCTGAAATGACGTGTGTGTGTGTGTGTGTGTGTGTGTGTGCGTGCGTGCGTGTTCAATGATGTGCATTGAAGCATTGTTTCAAGTAGCAAAACAAAAACAAAAAACCTGAAAACAACCTAAACATCCATCGATCAGGGAATGGCTGAATGATCTATGAGATAGGCACCGTATAGCATGTATACCACGTAGGCTTCTCCCCACTCCACCGCCAGGCTTGCTTTTATTTTTTTTGAAATATAATTCATGTACCCATAATACTCCCATTTTAAGGTATACATTTTAGAATATATCATTTAAAGTAAACAATTGTGGCCATGCCTGGTGGCTCACACCTATAATCCTAGCACTCTGGGAGGCCGACACAGGTGGACCACTTGAGGTCAGGAGTTGGAGACCAGCTTGGTGAACACAGTGAAACCCTGTCTCTACTAAAACTACAAAAATTAGCCAGGCATGGTGACATACACGTGTAGTCCCGGCTACTTGGGAGGCTGAGGCAGGAAAATCACTTGAACCTGGGAGGCAGAGGTTGCAGTGAGCTGAAATCGCACCACTGCGCACCAACCTGGGCAATAGAGCAAGACTCAGTGTCAAAAACAAACAAACAAAAAAAGTAAACAATTGTAAAGTATACAATTTGGTGGTTTTCAGTATGTTCACAAAGCTGTACAAGTACCACTAATTTTAGAACATTTTTATCACTCCTAAAAGAAACTCCATATCTATTAGCAGTCATTTCCTATTTCTCCTCTTCCCCCAGCCCCGGCAACCACTAATCTTCACTCTCTTTCTATGGATTTGACTATTCTGAACATTTAGTATAAATGGAATTATATGAATTATATACTAATATGTGGTCTTTTGTGACTGGCTTCTTTCACTTCCCATGTTTTCAAGGTTCAACTACATTGTAGTGTGCTTCAATATTTCATTCCTTTTTTCATTGTGATAAAATATATGTATAATAAAATTAACTTTTTTTTTTTTTGAGACAGAGTTTTGCTCTTGTTGCCCAGGCTAGAGTGCAATGGCATGATCTTGGCTAACTACAACCTCTGCCTCCTGGGTTCAGGCGATTCTCCTGCCTCAGCCTCCTGAGTAGCTGGGATTACAGGCATGCGCCACCACACCCGGCTAATTTTTGTATTTTTAGTAGAGATGGGGTTTCACCATGTGGGTCAGGCTGCTCTCGAACTCCTGACCTCAGGTGATCCACCTGCCTTGGCCTCCCAAAGTGCTGGGATTACAGGTGTGAGCCACCACGCCCAGCCAAAATTTACCTTTTTAACCACTTTTAAGTGTACCACTCAGTGGCATTAAGTGCCACTCCAGCCTGGGCAACAGAGTGAGACCTTGTCTCCCCCACAACCCCCTACCCCTTGAAAAAAGAGAGCGTTTAAATGCACACACCCTGAACTCAGAATGTTAGTTCTGGAATCTGTCTGACACAAAAGCACACTGGTGGGCACGGATCTATGCCCAAGGGGCTCAAAGAAGCAGGGTTTGCTTCTGCCTCCTCCACCCCAGTTCACTCTGCAGCTCCGGCAGATCTGAAGCCCAGCTAATGGAAGTAACCTCTTACCCTCGAATGACCCCAAATTCCTTACCTAACCATTCTCCCCTACTCCCAGCAAATAACCTTGCTTCCTGATTTTTGGCAACTGGTCATGAGAAGGGCATTTCCTCATCCCCCACCTCCCCTTATCCACGACCCCACTTTCCCATGAGGGACCTCTCTTCCCTGCCTCGAGTACTGAAGACCCCTCCTTTGGGTGTCCTCCATATTTCAATGCTGACCTCCCTTTCTTTATTTTTTCTTAAGATGGGTATGTTGCCCAGGCTGGTCTCGAACTCCTGGGCTCAAGTGACCCTCCCGCCTCAGCCTCCCAAAGTGCTGGGATTGCAGACATGAGTCACCACGCTCGGCCCTACCACCCTTGTCTTTGGAAAGTTTACATCCTCCCAGTTCCCACAATCATCTCCCCTTCTCAGCTCAGCTTCTCAAAAAAGCCACGTACAGTATTTATTTCCTCCTCCTCACTTCCTTCCTCCCTTTACCCCAGGCAATCTGGGCTGCATTCTTGTATTCCTCTGAAACTGCCCAGGTAAATTAGCCATGCCCTCAAAATTGCACAATCCAGGGAATCTTTTGCATATGCATCTTAATTTTCTGGAGGCATTTGGCACAGCTGTATTCTCTCAGGATAATCTCTCTTCTTTTGACTTTGTGACTGCATTTCCTAGTGGTTCTTCTACTTCTCTGACTGTATTTTTTTCTTTCTTCTCAGATTCTTCTTCCTCCTGCTCCCTTCAAAAAAGGTGTTGGGGATAAGGAGAGTGTGGCTATGTCCATTTCTGTTGTCCCTGCAAAAGCTCCTCAAGGCCATCACATTTCTACTGCCTGGATCTCCTTAATGTCCTCTGGATCATTCTTGCTCAGAAAGTCCCACCTTGGCCTCTCCTGGAACCACCCCGAGTCCCTAGGCTGGTGCAAGTATACTCCCTCCATGCATCACAGCATTTAGAAAGAAATGTATGGAAATAAGTTGTTTTTCTGTTTCTCTCCCTCACTAATTGTCAGTGCATCCAGGGCAGAGGTCTTGGTTTATTTAATTCTGTATGCCAGCTCCTCACGTGGTGCCTACCACACAGTAAGTTCTCAGTTCGGTTACTACTGAAGTACTCAGTTAGTACTCAATGACTTTACTTGTTCCACCAAACCAACAGGGGCTGCCCGCTGATGAGAGGTGAAATGCGAAGGGAAAGAACTCAGGATTAACCCCCAGGGTTCTGGAGAATTGGAAACTGAATTAGTCAAGGTTCTCCAGAGAAACAGAACCAACAGGATATATAGAGGGATATATAAAAGGATATGGGCCAGGCGCGGTGGCTCACGCCTGTAATCCCAGCACTTTGGGAGGCCGAGGCGGGCGGATCATGAGGTCAGGAGATCGAGACCATCCTGGCTAACGTGGTGAAACCCCGTCTCTACTAAAATTACAAAAAATTAGCCGGGCGTGGTTGCAGGCGCCTGTAGTCCCAGCTACTTGGGAGGCTGAGGCAGGAGAATGGACTGAACCCGGGAGGCGGAGCTTGCAGTGAGCCAAGATCACGCCACTGCACTCCAGCCTGGGCGACAGAGTGAGACTCCGTCTCAAAAAAAAAAAAAAAAAAAGAGGATATGAAAGAGGGGATTTATTGCAGGAATTAGCTCACGTGATTCTAAAGGCCAAGAAGTCCCACCGTATGCCGTCTGCAAGCTGGGGAACCTGGAAAGCTGGTGGTGTCCTTCACCCTGAGTCTGAAGATCTGAGTTCCTGGAGCTGTGATGTCCAAGGGCAGGAGAAGATGAATGGCCCTGCTCCAGAAGAGGGTGCAAATGTGCCTTCGCCCTGCCTTTTTGTTCTGTCTGGACCCACAGTGGATTGGATGATGCCTGCTCACGTGGGTGAAAGTGGAACTTTTCTGTCTACTGATTTAAATGCTTATCTCTTCTGCAAACACCGTCCCAGTCAGACCCAGAAATAATGTTTTACCAGCTATCTGGGCATCTCTTAGCCCAGACAGGTTGATACATATAATTAACCATCAGATAAGCCAAGTGGAAAACATAGGTTACAGGCAAAACACAGAAGGCTCCAGTGCCAGGGTATAGAAATGAGACTTTTGGGTTGGGCACTGTGGCGCAGACATGTAATCCAGCACTTTGGAAGGCTGAGGTGGGTGGATGGCTTGAGCCCAGGAGTCTAAGCCCAGCCTGGGCAACATGGTGAAACTCCGTGTCTATATAAAATACAAAATTAGCCGGCCGCGATGGCTTACGCCTATAATCCCAGCACTTAGGGAGGCCAAGGCATGCAGATCACCTGAGGTCAGGAGTTCAAGGCCACCTGGCCAAGATGGTGAAACCCCATCTCTACTAAAAATACAAAATTAGCCATGCGTGGCGGCATGTGCCTCCCAACTACTCGGGAGGTTGAAGCAGGAGAATCACTTGAACCCAGGAGGCGGAGGTCTCAGTGAGCTGAGATTGCACCATTGCACTACAGCCTGGGCAACAAGAGCAAAACTCCATCTCAAAAAGAAAAAAAAAAAATTAGCTAGTCATCGTGGTGCACGCCTGTAGTTCCACCTACTGGGGAGGCTGAGGTGGGAGGATCATTTGAACTCGGGAGGTGGAGGTTGCAGTTAGCCGAGATCGCGTCAGCCTAGCAGGCTGGGAGACAGAACAAGACCTTGTCAAGACAGAAAGAAAGAAAGAAAGAAAGAAAGAAAGAAAGAAAGAAAGAAAGAAAGAAAGAAAGGAAGGAAGGAAGGAAGGAAGGAAGGAAGGAAGGAAGGAAGGAAGGAAGGAAGGAAGGAAGGAAGGAGGAAAGGGAGGGAAGCTTTTTTCAATAAGGGAATTTAACCTAGACCCTCATGGACACACTTAGTCTTTGAGGGGGAAATAAGGAAAAAGGACAAAAATCTATCAGTAGTTATATAAAGTAGAAAAGAGGTTGAATGGGAGGGACAGGTAAAATGAAAAGAAAAAGAAAAGAGTTTCAAACAGGAAGTGGATGACAGCAAATTTGTTTTGTTTTGTTTTGTTTTTAAAGAAAAGAGGCAAACAAAACTGTTGGAATTTGGGATACTGTCACCCTCTGGGGGCATAGTGACTAAGCAAAGGCACAGGGGTCTTCTGAAGAGCTGGCCATGTGTGATGTCTTGCTATGGGTGCTAGGCACACAGGCATATTCACTTTGTGAGATTTCATTAACCTGCACACTTAAGTGTGTTTCTCTGTATGTATACTACAAAAAGTTGTTTTTTGTTTTTTTTTTTGAGATGGAGTTTCCCTCTTGTTGCCCAGGCTGGAGTGCAAAGGCACAGTCTTGGCTCACTGCAACCTCCACCTCCCAGGTTCTAGCGTTTCTCCTGCCTCAGCCTCCCGAGTAGCTGGGATTACAGGCACCCACCACCACGCCTGGCTAATTTTTGTGTTTTTAGTAGAGACGGGGTTTCTCCATGTTGGCCAGGCTGGTCTCAAACGCCTGACCTCAGGTGATCCCCACCTCCCCCCGCCCCGTCTCAGCCTCCCAAAGTGCTGGGATTATAGGTGTGAGCTACCGCGGCTGGGCTTGTTCCCTGTTTCAAACAGCTTGGTCTCTGTCTGAGGTGGGGCCTGGGGCACAAGAAAAGGCTCAGGGTCTTGAATGGGTCCCAGGTGCTGTCTCCAGGAATGTGTGCCTTAGAAAAGAGGGATGTGTCTGTACTGCAGGATGTGAAGGTTTAAGTTTGAATATTTCTTTGATCCTAGAATAAATGAGTTATACACCTCATGCAGCCTTGGCGAGAAAAGGCACAGGGTCCCTGGCCTGCCTCTGCCTTGCTCAGTGACCTTGGGGAAATCATATAACCAAACTACATTTAGGTTTCCTAGTATGTAAACTTAAGACAATTTCGTCTGCCCTATCCACTGCCTAGGTTGGTATGAGGATTAAATGAGGTAATTGATGTGAACGTGCTTCCTGCAGATGTTTTTTTATAGCCCTTTACAAATACCATATAAGAAGCCTAATCTAGCTGTAGAATTGAGCCCACAATTGGTTTTTGAGCCATAATATCAAACACTCAGTCTTTCCCTAGGTGATATTTTTCCATTCTCTGTTTTTGATAAGGTCTCTAGTTTGTAAGGTCACTTGGAATTCGAGTCCTTTGTGCCCAGAGTGTTGGCTGCACCACTAACTCACCTCCTATAAGTTAGTACAGACACTCTTCATTGGTCATGTGCTACCTGGCAGGCACTGAGCTAGACACCACTGACAAAATGATGGATAAGAAACTTACTGGGCAGGACACAGTGGCTCATGCCTGTAATCCCAGCACTTTGGAAGGCTGAGGCGGGTGGTTCACCTGAGGTCGGGAGTTTGAGACCAGCCTGATCAACATGGAGAAACCCCGTCTCTACTAAAAATACAAAATTAGCCAGGCGTGGTGGTGCATGCCTGTAATCCCAGCTACTCGAGAGGCTGAGGCAGGAGAATCGCTTGAACTCCAGAGATGGAGGTTGCAGTGAGCCAAGATCACACCATTGTACTACAGCCTGGGCAACAAGAGCGAAAATCTGTCACAAAAAAAAAACAAACAAATGAACAAAAAGAAACTTACTGGCCAGGCGCAGTGGCTCACTCCTGTAATACCAGCACTTTGGGAGGCTGACGCAGGCGGATCACTTGAGGTCATGAGTTCAAGACCAGTCTGGCCAAAATGGTAAAACCTCGTCTCTACTAAAAATACAAAAATTAGCCAGG
This sequence comes from Homo sapiens, assembly GCF_000001405.40. NCBI lineage: Eukaryota > Metazoa > Chordata > Mammalia > Primates > Hominidae > Homo > Homo sapiens. The sequence goes on from NC_000020.11 coordinate 5,013,232, forward strand.
CATGGTGGCGTGCGCCTGTAGTCCCAGCTACTTGAGAGGCTGAGGCAGGAGAATTGCTTGAACCCGGGAGGTGGAGGTTGCAGTGAGCCAAGATCATGCCACTGCACTCCAGCCTGGGCAACAGAGCAAGAATCCATCTAAAAAAAAAAAAAAAAGCCAAACTTACTAGGTCTGCCCCCAGTGAACCTGCATGCTGGTAGGTATGGGAAGACAGAAGAAGGGTCGGGCACAGTGTCTTAAAAAAGTTATTTGAGACAATGCCATCAGCAATGCCATCAGCATTGGACGATGGGAGAATAGATCATCTCACTTGCCCATTCTTCAAATGGCCCCACCGAAAGCATAGGTTTTAAACTGGCCATTAAACCTGCTCGTGACTTTATCAACCTCAGCCACATTTATCCGGATGGAGGTGTAGTCTTTGATGCTGATGATGCAGTTGCTGGTGGAGCATTTCATATACGTCCACAAACTCACTAGCATTATTCTGCATGTTGAGGCCACACCTGTTGCCACCACACCTCATATGAGCAGATAAAGCACTTAATTATTTTTTGTTTATTTCTTGGCTGCCATCTCATGTCGTAGAACACAAGTCCACCGAGTACCAGGAGCCCCGCCAGGTGTTGGTTATGCAGTGAGTTATCTTCTGTCTTCCCATACCTACCAGCATCCGGGCTCTTATATGCTTCCTCTCGGCCTCCCAAAATGTTGGGATTACAGGCATGAGCCACTGTGCCTGGCCTCAAATAACTGTTGACTGGAGAGCATATTGAATGTGGAATACTTGTCATAAATAAATAGTGAAAACCTAAAAACAATAATTATTATTACTACGTTAGTGATAAATTTAAAAAGAACAAGAGGAACAGGCTTTGATCGAACTTGGCAGGCAACTTAGGTAAGAAGATAAAGGATGAAGAAGGTGACATTATTGCTGAGACTCAGCCAAGCCAATTATGCAAAGACCTGGGAGAAGAACATTTCAGGAAGTACAATAGCAAGAGCAAAGGTCCTGAGGCAGGAAAGAACTTGCCATGTTTGAGGAATTGAAAAGCAGTCAGTGTGACTGGAATGTGGAAAGTAGGAGGGAGAATGGGATGAGATGAGATTACAGAAAAGGTAATGAAGGGGCCAGGAAAAGCAAGCCTCCTAAATATGATGGGGAGTCAGTAAAGGGTTTGAGCAGGGGTTTATGTTTTGTTGTTGCTGTTACAGGGTCTCACTCTGTCGCCCAGGCTGCAGTGCAGTGGTGTGATCATGGCTTGCCGCAGCCTCGAACTCCTGGGCTCAAGCGATTCTCCCACCTCGGCCTCCCTAGTAGTTGGGACTGCAGGTCCGTGCCAACACACCTGGCTTAATTTTTAATTTTTGTCCAGATGAAGTGTCCCGGATTCTGCTGAGAGCAAAATACAGAACAACAGCAACAACAAAATAGAAACAAAGAGGACGAGCATGGTGGCTCACACCTGTAATCTCAGGACTTTGGGAGGCTGAGGCAGGCGGATCACAAGATCAAGAGATGGAGACCATCCTGGCCAACATCGTGAAACCCCGTCTCCACTAAAAATACAAAAATTAGCTGGGTGTAGTGGCGTGCCCTTGCAGTCCCAGCTACTTGGGAGGCTGAGGCAGGAGAATCACTTGAACCCGGGAGGCAGAGGTTGCAGTGAGCCGAGATCGCGCCACTGCACTCCAGTCTGGTGAGAGAGTGAGACTCTGTCCCAAAAAAAAAAAAAAAAAAAAAAAAAAGACAGAAAGAAAAAGAGCAAGATAAAACAAAACAAAAAATTAAAAACTTTTTTTTTTTTTTTTAGATAAAAGGACATGGCATCTCCCTGTGTTGCCCAGGCTAGTCTCAAACTCCAGGACTCAAGTGATTAACCTGCCTCGGCCTCCCAAAGTGCTGTGCTGAGATTATAGGTGTGAGCCACCCACCATGCCTGACCTATTTGGGTTTTGAGAAGATCTCTTTGGCTGGGGAGGGAGAATGGATTGAAGGGGCCAAGTGTAAAGCAAATAGAACAGGAATTACAGGAGTTCAGGTGGAAGACAGTGGTTTGGCCTAGGGTAAGAGCAGTGGAGGTGGAAATAAGGAGCAAATTCAAGATATACTTTTATTTTTTTAAATTTTTTTTTTTTGAGACGGAGTCTCCCTCTGCCACCCAGGCTGGAGTGCAGTGGTGCGATCTGGGCTCACTGCAAGCTCTGCCTCCCGGGTTCAGGCCATTCTCCTGCCTCAGCCTCCCAAGTCGCTGGGACTACAGGTGCCCGCCACCACACCCGGCTAATTTTTGTATTTTTAGTAGAGACAAGGTTTCGCCGTGTTAGTCAGGATGGTCTCAATATCCTGACTTCGTGATCCGCCCGCCTCGGCCTCCCAAAGTGCTGGGATTACAGGTGTGAGCCACCACGCCCGGCCGTTTTTTATTTTTATTTTTATTTTTTATTTTTTTTGAGACGGAGTCTCACTCTGTAGCCCAGGCTGGAGTGCAGTGGTGTGGTCTCGGCTCACTGCAACCTCCGCCTCCCGGGTTCAAGTGATTCTCCTGCCTCAGCTTCCCAAGTAGCTGGGACTATAGGCGCGTGCCACTACACCCGGCTAATTTTTTATTTTTAGTAGAGATGGGGTTTCTCCATGTTGGCCAGGCTGGTCTTAAACTCCTGACCTCAGGTGATCCACCGGCCTCAGCCTCCCAAAGTGCTGGGATTACAGGCGTGAGCCCCCACACCCAGCCTCAAGATATATTTTAAAGACAGGCTGGACATGGTGACTCATGCCTGTAATCCCAGCACTTTGGGAGGCCAAGGTGGGCAGATCACTTGAGGTCAGGAGTTCGAGACCAGCCTGGCCAACATGGTGAAACCCTGTCTCTACTAAAAATACAAAAATTAGCCAGGCATGGCAGCACATGCTTAAAGTCCCAGCTATTCGGGAGGCTGAGGCGGGTGAATCACTTGAATCCAGGAGGCAGATGTTGCAGTGAGCCGAGATCACAACACTGCACTCCAGCCTGAGTGACAGACCGAGACCCTGTCTCAAAAAAAAAATAATAAAAATAAAAAAAGATAATACTGACAGTGCTTGCTAATAGGCTATACATGGAAGATGAAAAAAAAGAGGAATCAGGATAGCTTCATGGTTTGGAGTTGGGCAGCCAGGTGGACGAGGGGCCATTTTACAGACCAGGGGCATGGAGGGAGATGCAGTTGTGATGGGGGACAGCCTAGGAGACTTCCATCTGTGACAATCCCAGAGGAATCATTGGGTAGGAAGTTGAATATCTGCATCCAGATTCATTCACACAGGCACAGGGAGGAGACTGGGCTAGGGTTATGGTTATGTACATGGGAGTCATCAACAGTATGTAATATTTAAAGCCAAGAGATTCAAAAGGATCATCTAGGGAGAGCGTGCAGATGGAGAGCGCTAAAAGCGCAGGAAGGAGCCCCTGAGAACTCCTTCAGCAAAGGAGACTGGGAGTAAGCGGAGAGAGGATAGTGCATGGAGAGGACACCGGATGCTGGAGGACATCATCTTCATCATTGACGGGACCTTCGCCAATAACACATGCCACAGAAATTAGTACTCACCCAGATAAAGGGAGTAAAGAGGAAAATGATGGTGCAAAACTGCGTTCATGGCCGGGTGAGGCAGCTCACACCCGCCGTCTCAGCACTTTGGGAGGCTGAGGCAGAAGGGTCGCTTGAGTCCAGGACCTTGAGATTAGTTTGGGCAACATAGGAAGACCCTGTCTCCTTCTCTTTTTTTTTTTTTTTTAATTTTTTGTTTTGTTTTATCTTGCTCTTTTTATTTTTTAAATTTTTGTTCTGTGTTTTGCTCTCTCAGCAGAACCAGGGAGAGCCCATCTTAACAAAAATTTAAAAATTAGGCCGGGTGCAGTGGCTCATGCCTATAATCTCAGCACTTTGGGAGGCCGAAGCGGGTGGATCACTTGAGGTCAGGAGTTCACGACCAGGCTGGTCAACATGGTGAGACACCGTCTCTACTAAAAATACAAAAATCAGCCAGGTGTGGTGGCACACACCTTTAATCCCAGCTACTCGGGAGGCTGAGGCAGGAGAATCTCTTGAACCTGGAAGGCAGAGGTTGCAGTGAGCCAAGATCGTACCACTGCAATCCAGCCTGGAAAACAAAGTGAGACTCTGTCCCCAAAAAAAAAAAAAAAAAAAAAAAAAAAAGGCCGGGCGCAGTGGCTCACACCTGTAATCCCAGCACTTTGGGAGGCTGAGGCAAGTGGATCAACTGAGGTCGGAAGTTCAAAACCAGCCTGACCAGCAGGGCGAAACCCTGTCTCTACTAAAAATACAAAATTAGCTGGGCATGGTGGTACATGCCTGTAATCCTAGATACTCGGAGGCTGAGGCAGGAGAATCGCTTGAACCTGGGAGGCAGAGTTTGCAGTGAGCCGAGATTGTGCTATTGCACTCCAGCCTGGGTAACAAGAGCGAAACTCCATCTCAAAAAAACTAATAATAGAATAAAATTCCCTAGAAGCAGATCTGAGATAAAGGTTTGTTTGTGAGTAATTTATAAAGGAAAGGCTCCCAAGAGAAACTGGTAAAGGGAGTGTCTTTCTTGCTGCCTTGGATGGTCTTGAACTCCTGGACTCAAGAGATCCTCCTGCCTCCCAGAGTGCTAGAATTACAGGCACGCGCTGCCATGCCTGTCCTGGTAAGGGAATTTCTCACAGTAAGGGAAAGTAGAATAGGAAAGGAGAAGGAGCTAAAAGGAGGGTGATGGGCCGGGTGTGGTGGCTCACATCTGTGATCCCAACACATTGAGAGACCAAGGCAAGTGGATCACTTGAGCCCAGGAGTTCAAGGCTGCAGTGAGCCATGATTGCACCACTGCACTCCAGTCCGAGTGACGGAGACACCTTGTCTTAAAAAAGAAAAAAAGAGAGATGGGTGATTTTAGGTAAGGTCTCAGCCTTAGCCTGATCTGCATGGAGTTCTGGAGAATAAATTGTATCTCCAAGTTTGTTCCTACTCAAGGCAAGGGAGCTGGGCCTCATATCACAGCACTTGTCAGTCAAGACAAGTAACACAGTAAGACAGTAAGCTCCTAGCCTCTTTGTGTTTTTAGGCAGAGCAGTTCCAGTAGCCTGAGGACAATTCTTCAAAGAGAATATAGATGTAAGCCTTTGGAAGCAAAAGCCCAGAGAATCCAGGGTGGTGACCCACAGAAGTGGTCATGGGACCTTTCAGCATGTGGAGGGTGCACCTGGAGTGTCCACTAACACTCCATGTAGGCATTTAAAATGTTTCTTAGGGGTCAGGCTCGGTGACTCATGCCTGTAATCCCAGTACTTTGGGAGGCCGAGGCTGATGGATCACCTGAGGTCAGCAGTTCAAGACCAGCCTGGCCAACATGGCAAAACTCTGTCTCTACTAAAAAATAAAAATAAAAAAAATTAGCCAGGCATGCTGGTGGACGTCTATAATCCCAGCTACTCAGAAGGCTGAGGCAGGAGAATCACTTAAACCCAAGAGGTGGAGGTTGCAGTGAGCCAAGATCACACCATGGAGGGTGGAGACGTGTGGGAAGAGACAGATGGAAAGAAGACTACTGAAAAGGTTAAAAAAAAAAGTATGGGTGGGAAGTGAGGAATTAATTCTGTGGCAGTGGGGACAGACAGGAGAGCCAGACTGGAAAAAAACCCAGCTATACCAGCTTGGAAAAGTTACTTAGCCTCTCTGGGCATCAAATTATTCACCTGTGAAATGGGTCAATTACAATAATAGTGAAAAAATAATAATAGTAAGGCCGAGTGCAGTGGCCCATGCCTGTAATCTCAGCACTTTAAGGCCAAGGTGGGTGGATCACCTGAGGTCAGGAGTTCGAGACCAGCCTGGCCAACGTGGCAAAACCCCATCTCTACTAAAAATACAAAAATTAGCTGGGTGTGGTGGCATGCACCTGTAGTCCCAGCTACTTGAAAGGCTGAGGCCGGAGAATCGCTTGAATCAAGGAGGTTCCACTGAGCTGAGATCACGCCACTGTACTCCAGCCTGGGCAAGAGAGTGAGACTCAGTCTCAAAAAATACAAAATATTTTTTAAAAATGATAATGGTAGTGACATTTATTGAGCACTTTACTGTGATCCAGCTACAGACTGTTCCAAAGACTTTGCAACTGTTATTTTTGCTTAATCCTCACAACAACCTATGAGGTAGGCACATTTATTGCCCCCATGTGACCAAGGGAGACTGAGGCTCAGGGAGGTTAATAATTTGCCTAGGCACAGTGGCTCATGCCTGTAATCCCAGCGCTTTGGGAGACCCAGGCAGGCAGATCACTTGAGCCCAGGAGTTCAAGACCAAGCTGGGCAACATAGCGAGACCCTGTCGCTACAAAAATTACAAAACAAATTAGCCGGGTGTGGTGGTGAATGCTTGTAGTCTTAGCTACTTGGGGGGATGAGGATTGCTTGAACCCGGGAGGTTGAGGCTGCAGTGAGCCATGTTCAAGCCACTGCACTCCAGCCTGGATGACAGAGTGAGACCCTGTTTCAAAGTAAAGAAATAAATAAACAACTTGCTTGAGTTCCCGCAGGTAGTCCTTTCCCCAAAAGATTGTAGGAAACACTAAATGGCAGCCATAAATAATAATTATTGGCTGGGTGCAGTGGCTCACACCTATAATCCTTGCACTTTGGGAGGCCAAGGCAGGAGGATCCCTTGAGCCCCAGAGTTTGAGACCACCATAGGAATTATAGTCCTAAGATCCCCATCTCTATTGATCTGGAGCTATTTTCACTAAGCTTTGAAATTTCCCATCAACCTCAATCTCCATCAACACACACTAATCCTGCTGACTTTGTTCTCATTCTCGCCGCCCTTGTACTCCCCTCCCCTCCACACTCCCCTTCCCTCCATGAATACCTGACTTCTGCCACTCCTCAGCCCCCTCTAAGCTCTTTCTCAAAACTACCCTCTAAGGCCAGCACCGTGGCTCACCCCTGTAATCCCAGCACTTTGGGAGGCCGAGGCAGGTGGATCACTTGAGATCAGGAGTTCAAGACCAGCCTGGCCAATATGGTGAAACTCTGTTTCTACTAAAAATACAAAAATTAGCAGGGCATGGTGGTGCATGCCTGTAGTCCCAGCTACTTGGGAGACTGTGGAAGGAGAATCGCTTGAGCCCGGGAGGCAGAGGTTTCAGTGAGCCAAGATTGCGCCACTGCACTCCAGCCTGGGCGACAGAGCAAGACTCCGTCTCAGGAAAAAAAAAAAAAAAAGAAAGAAAGAAAGAAAGAAAAAACACCCTCTACTCCTTTGATTCAACAATATCAATAATTTCCCCATTTTATTAACAGATACTATTTACTGATGCCATCAATGTTGGCAGAGCGCTTACTTCCAGTTGGGGACCGTGCTAAGCCCGGTGGTACCTAAAGTCCTTGCTCTTTAGGAGGTTGCAATTAAAATAGAGTTAGGGACAAGTCAACAAATACAAAAGAGAGATCATTGCAAATTGTGACTTAGGAATCAAATGGAGCAGGATGGCAGTGAATACAGGTGGGTACCATGTTTGGTGAAGCATCAGGGAAGGCCTCTCTAAGGAGGCACCTTGGTCCTGGGACCAAGAAGAGGCAGGTGTGCAAAGACCTTGAAACAGAGCAGAGGGAAGCATGAGTCAGAAAGCCCTAAGGAGGAAACGCAAGGTTCCCAGCCCGGTGCCATGTGCTTTACACAAAACTTTTCCTTTTCCTGCTAGTAAATCCCGTCCTTTCCGGGAGTTAATACTCCCTTTCAATCTTGGCTCCTCTCTGCTTCCTGCAGGTGGGGCACCACAGTAGCTGCCCAGAGCCTGGGAGGGTCAGCCATAACCCAGCTCCGAAGGTACAATAACCACCCTTTTTTGAGTGTTACTATACTCAAACATAGAGCATGAGTGTTACTACACTCAAACATAGAGCACGAAGGCCTTAGGCCAACAAGAAGTTGTGGCCAGTGGGTCAAAGCCCAAGAACAGTCTTCAATACTATTAATATTTAATTTTTTTGTTGAAGCTCAATTTATGCATCTGGATGAATTTCTATCCCTGTATACACCCATGAGACCACCACCGTGTTCAACATATAGTGTTTCCATCACTCGAGAAATTTTCCTCATGCCTCTTCCCAGTTAGTACCCTCCTGAGAAGGTGGTCATTTTTTTTTTTACACTTTTCTCCATAGTTTTGTGTTTGTTTGTTTGTTTGTTTTGAGACAGAGTATCACTCCGTCACCCGTGGGCAGATCACGAGGTCAGGAGTTCAAGACCAGCCTGGCTAACATGGTGAAACCCCGTCTCTACTAAAAATACAAAAATTAACTGGGGCTGGGTGAGGTGGCTCAGGCCTGTAATCCCAGCACTTTGGGAGGCCAAGGTGGGTGGATCACGAGGTCAGGAGATGGAGACCATCCTGGCCAACATGGTGAAACCCCATCTCTACTAAAAAAATACAAAAATTAGCTGGGCGTGGTGGTGCATGCGCCTTTAGTCCCAGCTACTCGGGAGGGCGAGGCAGGAGAATCGCTTGAACCCAGGAGGCAGAGGTTGCAGTGACCCAAGATCATGCCATTGCATTCCAGCCTGGGCAACAGACCCAGATTCTGTCTCAAAAAATAAAATTAAATTAAAAAAAGAACAAAGACATTCTCCTATGCAACGGCAGTATCACACACAGGAAATTTATCATTGTTAAATTAGCACTGGTCTCTAATATTCAGTCTACATTCAAATTTCTCCAATTGTCCCAATAATGTCCTTTGTAGATTTTTTTCTTTTCTTTTCTTTTTTTTTTTTTTTTGAGACGGACTCTTGCTCTGTCGCCCAGGCTGGAGTGCAGTGGCGCAATTTGGGCTCACTGCAAGCTCCGCCTCCCGGGTTCATGCCATTCTCCTGCCTCACCCTCCCAAGTAGCTGGGACTACAGGTGTCCGCCACCATGCCCGGCTAATTTTTTGTATTTTTAGTAGAGACAGGGTTTCACCGTGTTAGCCAGGATGGTCTCGATCTCCTGACCTTGTGATCTGCCCACCCGGGCCTCCCAAAGTGCTGGGATTACAGGTGTGAGCCACCGTGCCTGGCCGATTTGTTTTCTTTTTGGTCCTGAGTCCAATCAAAGATCGCCTGTTACATTTAGTTGCTATGTCTCTTTAATATCTTTTAATCTGGGCAGTTTCCTTACCTCTCTTTTTTTTTTTTTTTTTTTTTTTTTTTTTTTTGAGACAGGATCTTGCTCTGTTGCCCTGGTTGGAGTTCAGTGGTGCAATTTTGGCTCACTGCAACCTCTGCCTCCCAGGCTCAAGTGATTCTCCTACCTCAGCCTCCCAAGTAGCTGGGACCACAAGCACACGTGCCACCATGCCTAGCTAATTTTGTGTTTTTTGTAGAGATGAGGTTTTGCCAAATTGCCCAGGCTGGTCTGGAACTCATGAGGTCAGCCTGCCTCAGCCTCTCGAAGTGCTGGGGTTACAGGCATGAGCCACCATGCCAGGCCACCTCTTTTTGATGTTGATGTGTCTGAAAACTCCAGGTAACTTATTCTGCAGAATGTCGTTCAATTTGGGTTTGTTAATGTTTACTCATCATGATCTAGATTAAATATTTATGACAGGAATCAAGGATGTGATGTCATATCCTTCCCAGTGAATCGTATCAGGAAAAATTATTGTTGTTTTGTTTCATTATTATTATTTTAGAGACAGGGTCTCTCTCTGTCACTCAAGCTAGGTTGCAGTGGCACAGTCACAACTCACTGCAATGTGTATGTTGTTCGTTTGTTTCTTTGTCTTATTTATTCATCTTTTTTTTTTTTTTTTTTTGGAGACAGAGTCTCACTCTGTTGCCCAGGCTGGAGTGCAGTGGTGCGATCTCAGCTCACTGCAACCTCCACTTCCCAGGTTCAAGCGATTCTCCTGCCTCAGCCTCCCAGTAGCTGGGATTACAGGTGCGTGCCACCATGCCCAGCTAATTTTTGTATTTTTACTAGAGATGGGGTTTTGCCATGTTGGCCAGTCTGGTCTTACTGACTTCAGGTGATCCGCCCACCTCAACCTACCAAAGTGTTAGGATTACAGGCGTGAGCCACTGCGCCCAGGCTTTATCTTTATTTATTTATTTTTAGAGATGGGGTCTGACTCACCCAGGCTGGCCTTGAACTCCTGGGCTCAAGCAATCCTCCTGCCTAGGCCTCCCAAAGTGCTGGATTACAGGAATGAGCCACCACACCCTGCTTTGTCTCATTATTGATGATGCAAGGCAATTACTTTTTTTATTTTGATAAGATATATCATTTTAACCTTTTTTTTTTTTTTTTTGAGACTGAGTTTCACTCTTGTTGCCAGGCTAGAGTGCAGTGGCGCGATCTCGGCTCACTGCAACCTCCACCTCCCAGGTTTAAGCGATTCTCCTGCCTCAGTCTCCCGAGTAGCTGGGATTACAGGCACCCATCACCATGCCCAACTAATTTTTTGTATTTTAAGTAGAAACCAGGTTTCTCCATGTTGTACGGGCTGGTCTTGAACTCCTGGCCTCAGGCGATCCACCTGCCTCGGCCTCCCAAAGTGCTGGGACTACAGGCATGAGCCACCGTGCCCGGCCCATTTTAACTATTTTTAAATGTACAGTTCTGTGGTGTTAAGAACATTCACATTGTGATGCAACAATCACCACCATCCATCTCCAGAACACGTTCATCTTCCCCAGCTGAAATTCTACCCATGACACATTAACTCCCCATGTTCTCTCCCCACCAGTCCCTGGCAAGCCCCTTCTACTGTCTCTATGAATTTGATGACTCTAGGCACCTCATACAAGTGGAATCATATAATATTTGTCTTTTTGTAAATGGATGATTTCACTTAGCGCAACGTCCTCAAGCTTCATCTGTATTGGAGCACGTTCCTTGCCTTTTAAGGCTGAATAATATTCCACTGTATGCATATATCATATTTCATCAATGTGTCCATCGATGGACACTTGGGTTGCTGTCACCCCTTGGCTATGCTGCTGTGAATGTGGGTGTACGCATATCTCTGAAAGACCTTGTTTTCACTTTTTTGGGGCATGTACCCAGAAGTGGAATTGCTGACTCATATAGCAGTTCTATATTTAGATTTTTGAGGAATTGCCGTACCATTTTCTGCAGCAGCTGCACCATTTTATGTTCCCATCAGCAATGCACAAGGGGTTCAATTTCTCCCCATTCTTGCCAACACTTATTTTTCTATTTTCTATAATAGCTAGCCTAGTGTGTGTGAAGTAGCATCTCATTGTGGTTTTGATTTGAATTTCCCTAATGATTAGTAACGATGACCATCTCCTTATGTGCTTGTTGTCCATTTCTGTATCTTCTTCTTTTTTTTTTTTTTTTTTTTAATTTTGAGACAGGGTCTCACTTTGTCGCCCAGGCTAGAGTGCAGTGGTTTGATCTCGGCTCATTGCAACCTCTGCCTCCAGGGTTCAAGAGATTCTCCCACCTCAGCCTCCCTGGTAGCTGGGACTATAGGCATGCGCCACCATGCCCAGCTAATTTTTGTATTTTTAGTAGAGACAGGGTTTCACCATGTTGGGCAGGCTGGTTTCGAACTCCTGACCTCAAGTGATCTGCCCGCCTTGGCCTCCCAGAGTGCTGGGATTATAGGCATGAGCCACCGTGCCCAGCCATTTTTCTATCTTCTTTAAAGAAACACTGGCCAGGCACGGTGGCTCACACATGTAATCCCAGCACTTTGGGAGGCTGAGGCAGGCAGATTGCTTGAGCCCAGGAGGTTTGAGACTAGCCTTGGTAACGCGGTGAAACTTCTTCTCTATACAAAATACAAAAACTAGCTGGGTGTAGTGTGTGCCTGAAGTCCCAGCTACTAGGGAAGCTGAGATGGGAGGACTGGTTGAGTCCGGGAGATAGAGGCTGCAGCAAGCTGTGATTGCGCCACTGTACTCCAGCCTGGGTGACAGAGTGAGGCCTTGTCTCAAAATAAATAAATAAATAAAAATAAAGAAACATCTGTTCAAGGCTTTGCTTTTTTTTTTTTTTTTTTTTTTTTGAGACTGGCCTGGCCTTGTTGTGTTGCCCAGGCTGGCCTCAAACTCCTGGGCTCAAGCAATCCTCAGCTTCCCAAGTAGGTGGGACTACAGGCGCATACCACCATGCCTGGCTTCTTTTCTTTGTCTACTTTTGAATTGGATTGTTTGTTTGGTTGTTGAATTGTAGGATTTCTTTATATATACTGGATATTAATATTTTATCAAATACATGTTTTGCAACTATTTTCTTCCATTCTGTGAGTTGTCTTTTCACTGTCTTGTCTCTTGTTGTGTGGTTTTAAAAATTTTTTTAGGCCGGACACGGTGGTTCACACCTGTAATCCCAGAATTTTGGGAGGCCGAGGCGTGCAAATCACAAGGTCAGGAGTTCGAAACCAGCCTGGACAACATGGTGAAACCCCATCTACTAAAAATACAAAAAATTAGCTGGGTGTAGTGGCGGGCACCTGTAATCCCAGCTACCTGGGAGACTGAGGCAGGAGAATTGCTTGAACCCAGGAGGCGGAGCTTGCAGTGAGCCGAGATCACACTGCTGCACTCCAGCTCGGGCGACAGAGTGAGACTCCGTCTCAAAAAAAAAAAATGTTTTTTAGAGACGGAGTCTCTGTCGCCCAGGCTGGAGTGCAGTGGTGTGTGATCATGGCTCACTGCAGCCTGGTTGAACTCCTGGGCTCAAGCGATCCTCCCACCTCTAGTTGTTTTCTTTTCTTTTCTTTTCTTTTCTTTTCTTTTCTTTTCTTTTCTTTCCTTTTCTTTTCTTTTCTTTTCTTTTCTTTTTTAGATGAGGTCTTGCTCTGTCACCTAGGCTGAAGTGCAGTGGCATGATCCCGGCTCCCTGCAGCCTTGACCTCCTGGGCTCAAGCGATCTTCCTGCCTTACCCTCTGGAGTAGCTGGCACTACAGCCATGTGCTACCATGCCTGGCTAATATATATATATACACACACACATATATATATGTATATATGTATATATATGTATATATGTATATATATGTGTATATATATATGTGTGTATATATATGTATATGTATATAATATTTTTTAGTTTTTGTAGAGATGAGGGTTTGACTAGGCCCATCTGGAACCCCTGGGCTCAAGTGATCCTCCCACCTCAGCCTCCCAAAGTGCTGGGATTGCAAGTGTGAGCCACCGTGACCAGCCTCACCCTCTCTCTTTTTTTTTTTTTCTGAGACACAGCCTCAAGAAGTCCTGAGAACATGTGCCTTCTGGCCCCACTCTCTTGATAGTGTTTTTTGATGTACAAAACTTTTTAATTTTGATGAAGTCCAGTTTATCTATTTTTCTTTCGTTACCTATACTTTTAGAGTCCTATCTATGAAATTATTGCCGAATCTAACGTCATAAAGATTTTTTTCTAAGTGTTTCATAGTTTTAACTGTTATGTTTAGGTCTTTGATCCATTTTGGGTAATATTTTTGTATATGGTGTTAGGTAAGGATGCAACTTCCTTCTTTTGCATGTGGATATCCAGTTTTCCCAGCACTATTTGTTGAAGAAACTGTCTTTTCTACATTAAAAGGTAGTGGCTCCTTTGTTGAAAATCAATTGATCGGCTCTCTCTCTCCCTCTCCCTCTCCCTCTCCCTCTCCCTCTCCCTCTCCCTCACCCCACGGTCTCCCTCTCATGCGGAGCCGAAGCTGGACTGTACTGCTGCCATCTCGGCTCACTGCAACCTCCCTGCCTGATTCTCCTGCCTCAGTCTGCCGAATGCCTGCGATTGCAGGCACGCGCCGCCACGCCTGACTGGTTTTGGTGGAGACGGGGTTTCGCTGTGTTGGCCGGGCCGGTCTCCAGCCCCTAACCGCGAGTGATCTGCCAACCTCGGCCTCCCGAGGTGCCGGGATTGCAGACGGAGTCTCGTTCACTCAGTGCTCAATGGTGCCCAGGCTGGAGTGCAGTGGCGTGATCTCGGCTCACTACAACCTACACCTCCCAGCTGCCTGCCTTGGCCTCCCAAAGTGCCGAGATTGCAGCCTCTGCCCGGCCGCCACCCCGTCTGGGAAGTGAGGAGCGTCTCTGCCTGGCCGTCCATCGTCTGGGATGTGAGGAGCCCCTCTGCCTGGCTGCCCAGTCTGGAAAGTGAGGAGCGTCTCCGCCCGGCCGCCATCCCATCTAGGAAGTGAGGAGCGCCTCTGCCCCGCCGCCCCATCTGGGATGTGAGGAGCACCTCTGCCCGGCCGAGACCCCGTCTGGGAGGTGAGGAGCGTCTCTGCCCGGCCGCCCCGTCTGAGAAGTGAGGAGACCCTCTGCCTGGCAACCACCCCGTCTGAGAAGTGAGGAGCCCCTCCGCCCGGCAGCTGCCCCGTCTGAGAAGTGAGGAGCCTCTCCGCCCGGCAGCCACCCCATCTGGGAAGTGAGGAGCGTCTCCGCCCGGCAGCCACCCCGTCCGGGAGGGAGGTGGGGGGGGGTCAGCCCCCGCCCGGCCAGCCGCCCCATCCGGGAGGGAGGTGGGGGGTCAGCACCCCCGCCTGGCCAGCCGCCCCGTCCGGGAGGGAGGTGGGGGGTCAGCCCCCCGCCCGGCCAGCCGCCCCGTCCGGGAGGTGAGGGGCGCCTCGGCCCGGCCGCCCCTACTGGGAAGTGAGGAGCCCCTCAGCCCGGCCACCACCCCATCTGGGAAGTGAGGAGCGTCTCCGCCCGGCAGCCACCCCGTCCGGGAGGGAGATGGGGGGGTCAGCCCCCCGCCCGGCCAGCCGCCCCCTCCGGGAGGGAGGTGGGGGGGGTCAGCCCCCCTGCCCGGCCAGCCGCCCCGTCCGGGAGGTGAGGGGCGCCTCTGCCCGGCCGCCCCTACTGGGAAGTGAGTAGCCCCTCTGCCCGGCCACCACCCCGTCTGGGAGGTGTGCCCAACAGCTCATTGAGAACGGGCCAGGATGACAATGGCGGCTTTGTGGAATAGAAAGGCGGGAAAGGTGGGGAAAAGATTGAGAAATCGGATGGTTGCCGTGTCTGTGTAGAAAGAAGTAGACATGGGAGACTTTTCATTTTGTTCTGCACTAAGAAAAATTCCTCTGCCTTGGGATCCTGTTGATCTGTGACCTTACCCCCAACCCTGTGCTCTCTGAAACATGTGCTGTGTCCACTCAGGGTTAAATGGATTAAGGGCGGTGCAAGATGTGCTTTGTTAAACAGATGCTTGAAGGCAGCAGGCTTGTTAAGAGTCATCACCAATCCCTAATCTCAAGTAATCAGGGACACAAACACTGCGGAAGGCCTCAGGGTCCTCTGCCTAGGAAAACCAGAGACCTTTGTTCACTTGTTTATCTGCTGACCTTCCCTCCACTATTGTCCCATGACCCTGCCAAATCCCCCTCTGTGAGAAACACCCAAGAATTATCAATAAAAAAATAAATTAAAAAAAAAAAAAAGAAAAAAAAAGAAAATCAATTGATCATAAATACAAGGGTTTATTTTGGGGCTCTCTATTGTCTTCTGTTGGTCTCTATGTCTGTCCTTATGCCAGTATCACACTGCTTTCATTACTGTGGCTTTGTAGTAAGTTGTGAAATCAGGAGGTATGGGTCCTTCAACTTTGCTCTTCTTTTTCAATGTTGTTTTGACTATTTGAGGAATGCAGGTACTTTTTAAATAGGACTCCTAGAGGTACCAAGGAAAGGATGATCTATAACAGCTGCCGCTTACATACTTTAGGAAGAATGTTGCGGCTGTGTTTGGCCCATCTCATGGGTCTGGTGACCCTACTGTCTTGTCTGTACTAAGAAGTATGAATAGAATGCATGGTCTGATAAAGGTAAAAGCATTACGTTACATAGTTATATGCTATACATATTTAACTATTAAAACATACAAAATAGGCCAGGTGTGGTGGTTCATGCCTGTAATCCTAGCATCTTGGGAGGCTAAGGTGGGAGGATCACTTGAGGTCAGGAGTTCGAGACCAGCCTGGCCAACATGGCAAAACCCCATCTCTACTAAAAATACAAAAATTGTCCAGGCGTGGTGGCGCTTGCCTGTAATCCCAGCTACTGGGGAGGTTGAGGCAGGAGAATTGCTTGAACCCGGGAGGCGGAGGTTGCAGTGAGCCGAGATGACACCACTGCACTCCAGCCTGGGCAACAGAGCAAGACTCTGTCTTGGAAGAAAAAAAAGAGAGAGAGAAGAAGAAAAAACCCTACAAAATAGCATGGAATCAGAGATCTGAGATATCTGGTCTCTGTACGCACACATAACTTCAGTTTATCTGAACACTTCTGCTTGTTTCTGTTCTCTGCTCTCCTGACCCACCTCCTACCTTCGTTTTCCTGCATTCAGATGCTACATGCAAGTCATTTTTATCTATTTTTTTCCCCTGCAGACCATTTTTAAAACTCTGTGCTGTAATTGTACTGATTAAAATCAAGGGGGCCAGGTGTGATGGCTCATGCCTATAATTCTAACACTTTGAGAGGCCAAGGTGGGCGGATCACCTGAGGTCAGGAGTTCGAGACCAGCCAGACCAGCCAGACCAGCATGGAGAAACCCCATCTCTACTAAAAATACAAAATTAGCTCGGCGTGGTGGCAGGCGCCTGTAATCCCAGCTGCTCTGGAGGCTGAGGCAGGAGAATCACTTGAACCCGGGAGGTGGAGGTTGCAGTGAGCTGAGATTGCGCCATTGCTCTCCAGCCTGGGCGACAAGAGTGAAACTCCGTCTCAAAAACAAACAAACAAACAAACAAACAAAAAACATAAGGAATACATTCACCTGGTTCCAAATTCAAAGGTAAAAAGGCCCAGGATGAAAGTTTCCGTAGCATCCCTGCCTCCTTCCTGCCAATTTCCCCTCTCTGGCAACAACCATTCTTACTGCTTTCTTGTATTTTCTTCTAAATACATATATTTATACGTGTACATTCTTGAGCTGGATGCAGTTCAATAATGAATTCTAGCAACTCAGAAGGCTGAGGAGGGAGGACGACTTGAGCCCAGGGGTTCAAGGCTGCAGTGCAGGAGTTCACACCACTGCATTCCAGCCTAAGTGACAGAGCGAGACCCCAGCTCTAAAAACAAAACAAAACAAAAATATTCTGTTGCATAGCCAAGTAAAAAGAACTTCCTGACACAGCAATAGGGCAGCGCATGCTGTGGCTGCTCTCCCGGCACCTTTGCAGTGTGCTCCTACAGATTTTCTCCTGCCGGCAGGTATGCACCTGCCCCTGCCCCAGAGGGATTGATGGGAACTAGGAAGACCCTCAGCAGCCTTGTGGCAGGCAGTGAGTGGGGGTGGGGGTTGAGATTACTCCCATTCTGGAGTGCCTGCATCCAAGCTCTCAGGAGGTGGCATCTTAACACCCTGCTCCCCTGCCCACCCCTCTGGCGAAATAACTCTGGGAAGCCAATTCTATGCTGGTGCCCAACGCATCTCCACCAGATTCAGCTTCAGTTGCTTTCAGTAGTTATTTATTGGATCACCCACCTGTTATTGGCCGCCTTCCCTTCCCTGTCTCACTTCCCCATTCCTTTCCTGCTGTTTAGCCAGCTCACTTCCCAAATTAAGTACTTGCTCTCGAATCTTTGTCTGAGTTTGCTTTGAGAGAAACCCAAAGGAAGGCCCATGTATGCACTGTTCTATACCTTGCTTGGTTCACTTAACATGACTTGGAGATACTCCCCTATCCCTACACCAAGGCTTCCTCATTCTGTTTTTTTTTTTTTTTTCTTTTGAGACAGGGTCCCGCTTTATCACCCAGGCTGGAGTGCAGTTGCACAATCAGGGCTCACTGCAGCCTCAACCTCCCAGGTTCAAGCGATCCTCCTTCCTCAGCCTCCTGAGTAGCTGGGACCATAGGCACGTGCCACCATGCCCAACTAATTTCTACATTTTTTGTAGAGATGGAGTTTCACCAAGTTGCCTAGGCTGGACTCAAACTCCTGAGCTCAAGTGATCCACCTGCCTTGGCCTCCGAAGTGCTGGGATTACAGACATAAGCCTCATTCTTTTTAAGGGCAGCACAATATCCCCTTCTGTGGACGTGCGTAAGAACTGGGCTCCGGAGCCAGATGGCCTGCAAGTCATTCTTCATATCTAACACGGGACCAGCCATCCTTCCGCAGAGGGCGGCCTGCTTTCCCTCCACCTTTTTTACTTTCATCATTGCCCCGGGCACCTCTTCCTGAAATCTGGGAGGCTTGCCTAACTCGTTCCCATACTCTTGCACATAGTATGTAAATTACCACATCTACAGACTGGCACTCCCAGTTGCGTCTGTCTTACCTAGAGTTTATTTGTCCTTTGCTCTTTTTTCCCTTCCCTCCCTCCTTCCTTCCTATTATCTGCCCACTACCCTGATCCTGGGTTAGAAGAACAAAAGTTTGAGAATTCTCTTTTCAGTTTTTTAATTTCTCAAAGTTAAACATAATTTTAAACATTGGCTGTTAGGATTAAAAAGTTAGGAGATTTCACATTGGAATCTGGATTTTATGCGTCTCTTGAAAAATCAATGCTGTTTCATGATAGTCTCAATAAAAAAAAGAAAAAAAATTAGGCTGGGTGCGCTGGCTCATGCCTGTAATCCCTGCACTTTGGGAGGCCAAGGCGGGCAGGTCACCTGAGGTCGGATCACCTGAGGTCAGGAGTTTGAGACCAGCCTGACCAACATGGTGAAACCCCAATTGTACTAAAAATACAAAAAATTAGCCGGGCGTGGTGTCGCGTGCCTGTAATCCCAGCTATTCAGGAGGCTGAGCCAGGAGAATCGCTTGAACCTGGGAGGCAGAGGTTTCAGTGAGCCGAGGTCTCACCACTGCACTTCAGCCTGGGCAACAGGAGTGAAACTCCATCAGAAAAAAATCATAAGTCCCAGCAATGCCTCTGTTCTGGCGTGACCACAGTCACAATCTCCTGGGCCAGAGCTAAGGATCCCCTGTCCCCTTGGGGTGGGGGCATCTCTCAACCATTCACCACTCCCCACAAAGAGGCCTCCTCACTTATTTATGGGACCTCCCTAGCCCAGTAGGTGACTGGATGTGAAACGCCTGGTTCAGGTCCTTATTAATGCAAACTTGAAGTATTTATTTAATTATTTTTTTGAGACAGAGTCTTGCTCTGTCGCCCAGGCTGGAGTGCAGTGGTATGATATTGGCTCACTACAGCCTCTGCATGCCGGGTTCAAGCAATTCTCCTGCCTCAGCCTCCCAAGTAGCTGGGATTACAGGCGCCTGCCAACACACCCAGCTAATTTTTTTTTTTTTTTTTTTTTGAGACAGAGACTCACTCTGTCATCCAGGCTGGAGTGCAGTGGCACGATCTTGGCTCACTGCAACCTCCACCTCCTGGGTTCAAATGATTCTTGTGCCTCAGCCTCCCGAGTAGCTGGGACTACAGGCGCTCGCCACCATGCCCAGCTGATTTTGTTTTGTATTTTTAGTAGAAATGGGATTTCACCATGTTGGCCAGGCTGGTCTTGAATTCCTGACCTCAAGTGATCCGCCTGCCTCGGCCTCCCAAAGTGCTGGGATTACAGGCGTGAGCCACTGTGCCTGGCCTAATTTTTGTATTTTTAATAGAGACAAGGTTTCTCCATGTTGGCCAGGATGGTCTTAAACTCCTGACCTCAGGTGATCCTCCCACCTTGACCTCCCAAAGTGCTGGGATTACAGGTGTGAGCCACCAAGCCCGGCCAAGCTTGAAGTATTTCTATTACTTAAAGTGAAAATGCAGATCCTAATTTCGGCACTTTGGGAGGCTGAGGCAGGAGGATCACTTGGGCCAGGAAGTTCAAGACTACAGTGAGCTATGGTGGCACCACTGTGCTCCAGGCTGGGCCACAGAGCAAGACCCTATCTATTTTTTTTTTTTTTTTGAGATGGAATTTCGCTCTTGTTGCCCAGGCTGGAGTGCAATGGCACGATCTTGGCTCACTGCAACCTCCACCTCCCAGGTTCAAGCGATTCTCCTGCCTCAGCCTCCCAAATAGCTGGGATTACAGGCACGTACCACCACACCTGGCTGACCCTATCTCTTAAAAACAACAACAGCAACATCATCAACAACAATACCCAGATTCCGATTCAGTAGATCTCGGTGGGGCATGAGATTCCGCATTTCTCACAAGTTTCCAGGTGATGCTGGTGTTGCTGGTCTACAGACCACACCTTGAGGAGCAGGGACAAGCCAGTCTCCTTCCTCCCCCATCGATTTTGCACATCACTGGGGATTTATTTTTCTAGTACATTATGTTTCTAGAATTCCAGTGGTTGTTGAATATCCATGGCAGTTACTGTTTACTGTTTGTTTTTTTTTTAAAGCACAGGATCTTTCGGCTTCCCAAACAGTGTTACTGCTCAGATCCCTGTGCACAGTGTACAAGTCAGATCTAATAGGTGCTAACTGAAGTCAAAGAGAAGGCCCTGGAAAATATCACTCTGAAATCCACCTCCCCACTCCCTGATCCCCAGGTCCCTGTGTCCAAACCACAGGAATTTGAAACTGTGGAACTCAGCTAAAAATCAGAGATCTTATTCTGGTATTCCAAGGACTTAGGAGTTAAGTAACTTGCCCAAGATTACACAGCTGCAAAACCCCGGATCTCCCAAACCCTTTGCATTTTTGTCCTAAGGCCACAGTCACAGCATTTCCTACCAAAGCCCAGCCCAGATCCACCCACTTTCTGATTTTTCTTGCCTTATTCACACCTGAGAATAAACACCTCTCTGCCAGTTAAAACTGTATTTTCAAACAGGGTTAGGCTCTGTGGCTCACACCTGCAACCCCAGCACTTTTGGAGGCTGAAAGAGTTCAAGACCGGCTTGGGCAACAAATCAAGACCCCTGTCTCTTAAAAAATAAAAAAATTGGGCCGAGCGCAGTCGTTCACGCCTGTAATCCCAACACGTTGGGAGGCCGAGGCGCGTGGATCACCTGAGATCAGGAGTTTGAGACCAGCCTGGTCAACGTGGAGACACCCCATCTCCACTAAAAATACAAAAATTAGCCAGGCATGGTGGCACATACCTGTAATCCCAGCTACTCGGGAGGCTGAGGCAGGAGAATCACTTGAGCCTGGAAGGTGGAGGCTACAATGAGCTGAGATCACACCACTGCACTCCAGCCTGGGTGATAGAGTGAGACTTTGTCTCAAAAAAGAAAAAGAAAAAGAAAAATAATTAGCTGAACACGGTGGTGTGTGTCTGTAGTCCCAGCTATTCAGGAGGCTGAGGCAGGAGGCTGTAGTAAGCTATGATCATGCCACTGCACTCCTGCCTGGGTGACAGAGAAAGACTCTGTCTCAAAATAAATAAACAAAAAACAAACAAAACAGGGTTTATAAGTAGTAAGAAAAGGCAGTTGGTGTCTTTTCCCCCTCTTCTGTCCTCCAGTTGTCTCCAAAATGGTGCATTTATCTTAGACAAGGTGACAGGTGGGGGGCAGGGAACGGAGGGGTGGCACAAAATGGTGCATTTGGTAAAACACTGAAGACAAGCTTACTCCAGGATAAAACTGGCAAAAGGTTGAAGACCAGGTTACTCCAAGATAAAGTTCTACCTCCTTCACCGCCTGGTCTCCAGGTCTGCATCTCCTGGTCACAGTCTCTGCAAGGTAAGCTTTTACCTTATCTCTCTGCCTGTTCCAGGGAAGCCTCCTTCCTGCCAAGTTGGTGTTCACCTTCACCTGAATTCACCCTTGTTTTCCTGCCTACCATGGGGCCATGGGGGCCCTTGTTCACTCCATCTCCTATATGCTGAGAATGCCCTTGTTTAATGAGGCTTTTTTTTTTTTTTGAGACAGGGTCTCACTCTGTTGCCCAGGCTGGAGTGCAGTGGCACTATCTTGGCTTACTGCAAACTCTGCCTCCCAGGCTCAAGTGATTCTCCTGCCTCAGCCTCCTGAGTACCTGGGATTACAGGTGTGTGCCACCACACCCAGCTAATTTTTGTATTTTTGGTGGAGATGGGGTTTTACCATGTTGGCCAGGCTGGTCTGGAACTCCTGACCTCAGGTGGTCCACCTGCCTCAGCCTCCCAAAGTGCTGGGATTGCAGGTGTGAGCCACCTTGCCCAGCTAGTTTAAAATTTTTATTTTATTTAGAGATAGGATCTTACTCTGTTGCCCAGGCTGGAGTGCAGTGGCATAATCATAGCTCACTGTAACCTTGAACTCCTGGGTTCAAGCAATCCTCCCATGTCAGCCTCCCCAGCAGGCAGGACTATGGCATGCAGCACCATACCTGGCTAATTTTTGTATTTTTGCAGAATCAGGGGTCTCACTATATGTCCAGGCTAGTCTTGAACTCCTGGCCTCAAGTGATTCTCCTGCCTTAGCCTGTCAGGGATCTGGGATTACAGGCATGAGCCATGCCCGGCCATATTTAATGGGTTTTGTTCTGTTTTTTTAAGATGGGATCTTGCTCTGTTACCCAGACTGGAGCACAGTGGTGAGATCATGGCTCACTGCAGCCTTGACCTCCTGGGCTCAAGCAGTCCTCCTGCCTCAGCCTCCCAAGTAGCTAGGACCACAGGCATGCACCATCACTTCCAGATTTTTTTTTACTTTTCTAAGAGATGGTGGGGGCAGGGAGTGGGGAGGTCTCTCCATGTTGCCCAGACTGGTCTCAAACTTCTGGCCTTAAGTGATCCTCCTGCCTCAGCTTCCCAAAGTGTTGGAATTACAGTCTAAGCTACTGTACCCAGCCAAGATATTTAAAGTGACAAAGAGATTTTTTTTGTTGTTGTTGTTTTTGTTTTTTGTTTTTTTTATTGAGACAGAGTCTCACTCTGTTGCCAGGCTGGAGTGCAGTGGTGTGATCTCAGCTCACTCACTGCAACCTCCGATTTCTGGGTTCAAGCGATTCTCCTGCCTCAGCCTCCCGAGTAGCTGGGATTACAGGCACACACCACCACACCCGGATAATTTTTGTATTTTTATTAGAGACAGGGTTTCACCATGTTGGCCAGGATGGTCTTGATCTGACCTCATGATCCACCTGCCTCAGCCTCCCAAGATGCTGGGATTACAGGCGTGAGTCACCGTGCCCGACGATAGTCTTTAATGGATGTAAGTGGGGGTATTTTGGAAATTAACAGCTCTTTTCCCATGTCTTTTTGAGGTTGTGGCTCATCAGAGACAAAAAAAAGCATCTTTTTTTAGGTTTGTTTTTTTTTTTTTTTGCCACCTGTCCTTGTTGGTCCAATCCCTACAAGAGAAGGGAAATGAGGAACTCTTCTTAAGCTTTGGACTCTGTATGGTAGACTTTACATGTGAAAAATTAGATAAAGTGAACAATTACATGGAAAAATATCATTACCAAAATTGTTCAAGAAGAAACATAGTAGGCCGGCTGTGGTGGCTCACACCTGTAATCTCAGCACTGGGAGGCTGAGGTGGGTGGATCACCTGAGGTCGGGAGTTCGAGAACAGCCTGGCCAACATGGTCAAACCCGTCTCTACTAAAAATACAAAAATTAGCTGGACATGGTGGCAGGCGCCTATAATCCCAGCTACTCAGGAGGCTGAGGCACGAGAATCGCTTGAACCCGGGAGACAGAGGAATAGAATAGACTTACATATAAGTAAAATTGAATCTGAATAAAAAATTCTAGTGAGAAAGAAAATTATAACCACAAAACACTTCACCAAGCCCAGATGTCCTCACAGGCAACTTTTATAACTTTAAGGAACAGAAAACCTCCATCTTACCCAAACTAAGAAACAAAATTCAACAACCCATGTGAATCTAGTCACTAGCTACTGTAAGGGAAATCTCACACCTAGCCAAAAACATTAAAAAAAAAAAAGTAAGAAAAGGAAACCAATAGTTCAGTTTCACCTACATAGATGCAAAAATTATGAATAAAACATTAGCTAGCCAAATACAACTATGTGTAAAACAAACATTACCAATCAGTATTTATCCCAGGAAGGCAAGGACGTTATTTTACCATTAGAAAGTAGCAACATAGTGTAATCCCAGCTATTCGGGAGGCTGAGGCAGAGAATTGCTTAAACTCTGGAGGAGGAGGTTGCAGCAGTGAGCTGAGATCGCACCACTGCACCCCAGCCTGGACAACAGAGTGAGAGTACGTCTCAAAAATAAAATAAAATAAAATAAAGTAAGTAGCAATACAGCTGGGCTTGGTGCTTTGGGCCTGTAATCCCAGCTACTCCGGAGGCTGAGGCAGGAGAATCTCTTGAACCCAGGAGGCGGAGGTTGCAGTGAGCCAAGATCACCTCACTGAGCTGTCTAGCCTGGGTGACAGAGTGAGGTTCCGTCTCAAAAAAAAGAAAAAAAAAAAAAATAGAAGCCGGGCAGGGTGGCTCATACCTGTAATCCCAGCACTTTGGGAGGCTGAGGTGGTCAGATCACCTGAGGTCACAGGTTTGAGACCAGCCTGACCAACATGTGAAACCTGATCTCTACTAAAAATACAAAATTAGTCGGGCGTGGTGGCACATGCCTGTAATCTCAGCTATTTGGGAGGCTGAGGCAGGAGAATTGCTTCAACCTGGGAGGTGGAGGTTGCGGTGAGCCGAGATCGCGCCACCGCACTGCAGCCTGGGCAACAAGAGGGAAACTCCGTCTCAAAAAAAAAAAAAAAAAAAGCAAAATAAACGCACTGCAGCCTGGGCAACAAGAGGGAAACTCCGTCTCAAAAAAAAAAAAAGAAAAATAAAAAAATAAATAAAATGTAAATCCTTTTGTACATTTTCATGGAAAACCATAAATAATATGAGAAGAAAAGCTACAAATTAAGAGATATTTGTAATGTATATAACTGAGAAAGAATTGATATCCAAAACTTTTCTTTTATTATTATTATTATTATTTTTCAAAATATTTTTAAAACCTACAAATAGGCCCAGCGTGGTGGCTCACACCTGTAATCCCAGCACTTTGGGAGGCGGAGGCAGGCAGATCACTTGAGGTCAGGAATTCCAGACCAGCCTGGCCAATATGGTGAAACACCATCTCTACTAAAAATACAAAAATTAGCAGGGCGTGATGATGGGCACCTGTAGTCCCAGCTACTTGGGAAGCTGAGGCAGGAGAATCGCTTGAACCCAGGAGGCAGAGGTTGCAGTGAGCTGAGATCATGCCACTGCACTCCAGCCTGGGCAACAGAGACTCCGTCTTAAAAAAAAAAAAAAAAAAACCCCAGAACCCCCCCCATAAAAAAAAAAAAAACCACTACAAATAATGAGAAAAGGACAAACCATCCAAAAGGAAAATGAACAAAGGAATGATTTCTATGACCAATAAACATATGAAACATATAAACAGACAAAAAGAAACTCGATCTCTGCAGTAATTAGGGAAATGTATATTAAAACACAAAGATACCATCTTACATCCTTCAGATCGGCAAATATTAGCAAGCCTGCCTATTTAATCAAAAATGCATTAGGCAGCTGGGCACGGTGGCTCATGCCCATAATCCCAGCACTTTGGGATACCAAGGTGGGAGGGGAGGACTACTTGAGCTCAGAAGTTTGAGATCAGCCTGGACAACATATTAAAACCTTGTCTCTACTAGAAATAATTTTTTTTTTTTTGAGACGGAGCCTCTCTCTCTCCCAGGCTGGGGTGCAGTGGCACGATCTCAGCTCACTACAACCTTAGCCTCCTGGGTTCAAGCGATTCTCCTGCCTCAGCCTCCCAGGTAGCTGAGATTACAGGCGTGCGCTGCCATGCCTGGCCAATTTTTTTGTATTTTAATAGAGAGGGTTTCACTGTGTTTCCCAGGCTGGTCTCTAACTCCTGAGCTCAGGCACGCCACACGCCTCGGCCTCCCAAAGTGCTGGGATTATAGGCGTAAGCCACCGCACTGGGCAGAAATAAAAATTTTTAAAAATTAGCCGGGTGTGATGGTGGGCACCTACAGTCCCAGGTATTCAGGAGGCTGAGGCAGGAGGATTGCTTGAGCCTGGGAGATCAAGGCTGTACTGAGCCGAGATCACACCCCTGCACTCCAGCCTGGGCAACAAAGTGAGACCCTGTCTCCAAAAAAAAAAAAAAAAAAAAAAAAGAAAGAAAAGAAATGCATTAGGCTACAAGCAGTAGAAGATCTAACTAAATGACTCAGACAAATAGGAAGTTCTTTTTCTCACATAACAAGTCTGTGGCCAGGCGCCGTCGTGTGAGCTTGTGGTCCCAGCTACTGAGGAGGTGGGTGGGAGAATCACCTAAACTCGGGAAGGTTTTAGCTGCAGTGAGCTGTGATCGTGCCACTGCACTCCAGCCTGGGCAACAGAGTGAGACCCTATCTCAAACACACAAACAAACAAGAATTCTGGAGGTAAGTGACGTGAGCATCGGTTCAATTGCTCAGCCACACGTTGTTGAGGTAGCTGATGTGCTCCCTGACATCTCACCCATTTTAAAGCCATAATCAGAGAAGAGCAAGACTAAGGCATCAGCATGCTTTGTCAGAAAAGCAAAAGCTTTAAATGGCTTCCAGCCAACTTTTGCTATACAAAATACTTCAAACATCCAGAAAAGAACCGAAAATGATATAACTCCCACATGTGTACCTATGATCGATTCTGAACAAACACTGATGTTTTGCCAATTGTGCTTCTATTTTTTTTCCTTAATAAAACACGAGAGACACAGTGTCCAGGATTGCATTATGTGGCCACCCCAGATGAAGGGGAGATGAGAATGTGAGTGTTCCGTTTTCTAATATGTATAATACAGGTAGGCTGGGCAGAAAGAGTTAGACAGGTATTGGGTTAGCCAGCCTACAGTGTCTAACACACCAACAAAATCAAGCATTGGAGAGCATTTGGATATGGAAGAGTGCTGAGAAGGTGTGGTGGCTCATGCCTATAATCCTAGTACTTTGGGAGGCTGAGGCAGGAGGATCACTTAAGTCCAGGAGTTTGAGAGCAGCCTGGGCAACAAAGTGAGACCTTGTCTCTACAAAAAATAAACAAAATTAGCTGGTGGTGGCACCTGCCTGTTGTCCCAGCTACTCAGGGGGCTGAGGTGGGAGGATGGCTTGAGCCTGGGAGATTGAAGCTTCAGTTAGCCATGATCATGCCACTGCGCTCCAGCCTGGGTGACAGAGAGAGATCCTGCCTCAAAAAAAAAATAAAAATAAAAAAGAGGGGCCGGGTGTGGTGGCTCAGGCCTGTAATCTTAGCACTCTTTGGGAGGCTGAGACTGGAGGATCCTTTGAGCCCAGGGGTTTGAGACCAGCCTGGGCAACATAGGGAGAACTTGTCTCTATTTAAAAAAAAAAATGCTCATACGTGGTTGGCAGGAGTGTAAATAGCCTCAACCAATTTGGAAAGCAATTTGCCAATACTAGTTAATATAACGATCTAGATAGTGGGCAACCCGGATTAGCCTTTTCCAGATATTTGCAGCTGGGAAGCTCTCATACATGTTCACAGAGATACCTGCAAATGTTCATTTCAGCTTTTTTTTTTTCAATGGCAAAAAACTGGAAATAGCCTATTTGTCCCTCAATAAGAGAACTAATAAATACATCTCACAATATACAATCAAAGGAATACTATGCAGCTATTAAAATGAGTGAACTTATCAACATGCATAAACCTTTAAGACATAATGCTGGTTAAAGAGGCAAGTTGCAGAAAGGTACATAAGGTATGGGACTATTTATGTAAAATCAAATGCACACAGAGTGACACTGTCTTTATTGATTCTTGCATTTGTAATAAAGGTGCAAACTGGGGAAGAAACACACTAACATCATAGCAGCAGCAATCTCCAGGGAAGGAAAGAGACCTGTGAGGAAAGGTGACGATGAGAGGAAGAAACTATACCTCTAATGTTGCATTAAGGAAAGAAAGGCTAGGCCCAGTGGCTTCCGCCTGTAATCCCAGCACTTTGGGAGGCCAAGGTGGGTGGATCACTTGAGGCCAGGAGTTCATGACCAGCCTGGCCAACATGGTGAAACCCCATCTGTACTAAAAATACAAACAATTTGCCGGGCATGATGGACATACCTGTGGTCCCAGCTACTCGGGAGGCTGAGGCATGAGAATCTCTTGAACCTGGGAGGCGGAGGTTGCAGTGAGCTGAGATTGCACCACTGCCCTCCAGCCTGGGTGACAGAGTGAGACTCTGCCTCTAAAGGAAGGAGAGAAGAAAATAGATCTGAAGCAAATTTATCAAAATGCTAACTTTTGCTGTATCTGTGTTGTAGGTTCCTAAGCATTTGCCATAATGTTCTCATTATTTCTTTGGCTATTTATAATACTTCATAAATTAAAAATAAAGGAAGGAGATGTGGTATTTTTTCTGAAGCAGCACTTCTCAAACTTTCATGTACAATGTATCCCCTGGGGATCTTGTTAAAATGCAGTTGCTGAGTCAGTGGCCTGGGATGGGGCCGGAGAATCTACACGCCTCACAAGCTCCTGTGTTGGGATGAAGCTGGTTCCAGGGCCCCACTTAAAGAAGCAGCCTTCCAGAGAACTCTGCCCCAGGGCTCCTGAGATGGAAGTGAAGGCCCCAGCCCAGAGGACCCTGCGTGAAGGTTCAGTGTTGGAGCCTGCAGATGCTGACAGTGCCTGCAGCTTTCCTGCCTATTTTAGGACTTGCTAGAAGCTTGGCATGTCCTAAAAACCCTTTTTCAAGAGTCTCTCCCCAGCTGCTGCTAGCGGGATTTTTTTTTTAACTCTCTATCCTATTTAACCTCCTCACTGATGACCTTTTAATGCGTAACTTTTTTTTTTTTTTTTTTTTTTGAGACGGAGTCTCGCTCTCCCAGGCTGGAGTGCAGTGGTGTGATCTCGGCTCACTGCAACCTGTGCCTCCCAGGTTCAAGCGATCTCCTGCCTCAGCCTCCCCAGTACCTAGGATTACAGGTGCGCGCCTCCAGCATAGCTAATGTTTGTATTTTTAGTAGAGACGGGGTTTCACCATGTTGGCCAGGCTGGTTATGCATAACTTTTTATCACAGATGTTTGATCTCAGTTTTAATCTTTTCAACATTTGTAAACCCTTGGTTCATTGTGCTTCTCCCTTTATTACTCTTTTTTTTTTTTTTTTTTTTTTTTTTTTGAGACGGAGTTTCGCTCTTGTTGCCCAGGCTGGAGTGCAGTGGCGCACTCTCGGTTCACTGCAATCTCCACCTCATAGGTTCAAGCGATTCTCCTGCCTCAGCCTCCTGAGTAGCTGGGATTACAGGCACACGCCACCATGCCTGGCTAATTTTTCTTTTTCTTTTTTGTATTTTTAGTAGAGATGGGGTTTCACTATGTTGGCCAGACTGGTCTTGAACTCCTGACCTCGTGATCTGCCCACCTCAGACTCCCAAAGTGCTGGGATTACAGGTGTGAGCCACCGTGCCTGGCCTAATTTTGTATTTTTAGTAGAGACGGGGTTTCTCCATGTTGGTCAGGCTGGTCTCGAACTCCTGACCTCAGGTGATCTGCTCGTCTTGGCCTCCCAAAGTGTTGGGATTATAGGCATAAGCCACCACAACCGACCTGACTGCTCATTTTTAAACTCTTGATCTGACACTGGGGGACTTTAAGCTATAATCTTGTTCTGTTTTTTTTCTTTTTCTCTTGCCTTCTATGCTTTCCATTTTATTGCTTTATTTATTTATTGAGACAGGGTCTCACTCTGGAGTGCTGGAGTATGGTGGCATGATCAGGGCTCACTGCAGCCCTGACCTCCAGGGCTCAGGGGATCCTCCCACCTCACCCTCCCAAGTAGCTGGTACTACAGGCACATACCACCATGCCCAGCTAATTTTCTAATTTTCTGTAGAGATGAGGTCTCACTGCATTGCCCAGGCTGGTCTCGAACTCCTGAGCTCAAGTGATCCTCCTGCCTTGGCCTCCCAAAGTGCTGGGATTACAGGCATGAGCCACAGCACCCAGCTTCCCTTTTTCTCTCAGGACTTATTTTCACATTGGCTGGGGTGTGGGTGGGCCGCCGCCATTTTATATTCCCAGCTTCCTTCTGGCTCCCCAGGAATCCTCAGCTGGGGTGAGGATGACACTGAACGAATCTCACATTCCCCAGGAGACTGGGAAAAACAACTGCTTCAGTTCTCTGTCGGATCACAGGCTCTAGCTTGCATATTCGATTTGCTGGGGCAGTGTTGATGTCTCCTACCCTGCAGGCCCATGTAAGAAGATGCATGTCATGAATTCCATGCACTCTTTGGATTGGGAGGCAACAAACACTGATGAGAATCAGGAGGGGCTGAAGAGGAGCCAGGGGATCTAGGGTCACCCAGACATCTCTGGGAGGCAGTTCACTCAGGGTATGGTGGTCATATCTGGGCTGCTCCATGGAGGCACTGGCATCAGGAGCTTAAAACAGACTCCTGTGTTCCCTTTTGTGCTCATCAGCAATGTCCTTGGTGCCTGGACCGGTTTAGTAGAGAAGGAGATGTTCCTGCTTTTATTTCTATTTTTTTTTAAACAAGTTTTCGCTCTGTTGTCCAGGCTGGAATGCCGTGACAAAGCCACGGCTCACTGCACCCTTGACCTCCTGGGCTCAAGCGATCCTCCCACCTCAGCCTCCTGAGTAGCTAGGACTACAGGCGCACTCTGCCACACCTGGCTAATTAAAAACAGTTATTTTGTAGAGATAGAGTCTTGCTATGTTGCCCAGGCTGGTCTTGAACTCCTGGGCTCAAGTGATATTCCTGCCTCGGTCTCTCACAGTGCTGGGGTTACAGGCATGAGCCACCATGGCCAGCTACTCCTGCCCTTTAGGTTTTGGCTCATTTCTCTTCCCCAGGGGAAACTGGGGCAGGATCATGGCAGGGCCTGGCATGCAACCCTTGCTGGCACAGCACTGTGGTAAGGGGCATGGGCTCTGAAGTTCAAGTGGAGAGAATACCCCTTATGAACTGGGTGTCCTTGGCCAGCACTTAACCTCTTTGTGCCTCAATGGCCCTCTATGAAGGATAACAGTAGACCTGTCTTGTAAGGTTATTGTGAAGTAAAACTTGTAGAATGGAGCTTGGCACAGAGTAAGCTTCAATCAATGTCAGCTCTTCATTACCCAACCTTGGCGCTGCATGACGAACACCTGTGGATGGTTAAAAACTGCACTGCAGGTTACTTCCCTCAGAGCCTCTGGGGTGGGACCCAGGCTTCCGTATTTTTTTTTAAGCCCCTTAGGTAATTTCATTGTGTGCACAGGGCTGAAAACTGCCTGAGGCTGCAGTCTCTCAAGTGCTAGTTCACACAGATATTTATTTATTTATTTTTTGAGACAGAGTTGCGCTCTTGTCATCCAGGCTGAAGTGCAATGGCGCAATTTTGGCTCACTGCAGTCTCCGCCTCCCAGGTTCAAGAGATTCTTCTTCCACAGCCTGCCGAATAGCTGGGATTACAGGTACGCGCCACCATGCCGGGCTAACTTTGTATTTTTAGTAGAGACGGGGTTTCACCATGTTTCACCATGTTGTCCAGGTTGCTCTCAAAATCCCGACCTCAGGTGATCCACCTACTTTGGCCTCCCAAAGTGCTGGGATTACAGGCATGAGCCACCATGCCCGGCCACACACAGATAAATTTAAACGTTCCCTACAGGTCTTTGTTGGGTCCTTTTGGAAGCAACTCCTGCCCCCGTGCCCCACAAAGGAGCATTTTCTTGTATGTGTCAGAATCATTTCTCTTTTCCCCTACCCCACTGCAAACCCCACCCAAGTTCAGAAGAAAAATACCTTCAAGAACTCTGACCAGATAGAGGAAAAGTGCATTGACTCAATCTACCTCCTTCCTCACTCCCTTCTTGGAGGAGGCCCCTTCCCAAAAGACCTTCCTGGAAAAATCTTCCTTTGGTGTCTCCAAGGAACTATGCTCTCCAGGGCACGCAACAACAGAGTAAGAATTCATCTACCACTAAAGACTGAATATAGTATGCAGTATAAAACTATTTAAAAGGGCCAGACGCGGTGGCTCATGCCTGTAATCCCAGCACTTTGGGAGGCCGAGGCGGGTGGATCACGAGGTTAGGGGTTCAAGACAAGCCTGGCCAAGATGGCAAAACCCCATCTCTACTAAAAATACAAAAATTAGCCGGGCATGGTGGCGGACACCTGTAATCCCAGCTACTCAGGAGGCTGAGACAGAGAATTGCTTGAACCCGGGAGGCAGAGGTTACGAGATCACACCACTGTATTCCAGCTTGGGCGACAGAGCAAGACTTCATCTCAAAAAAAAAAAAAAAACTTATTTAAAAGAAGGCGCCAGGCCAGGGTCGGTGGCTCACGCCTGTAAATCCCAGCACTTTGGGAGGCCAAGGTGGGGCAGATCACCTGAGGTCAGGAGTTCGAGACGAGCCTGGCCAACACGGTGAAACCCTGTCTCTACTAAAAATATAAAAATTAGCCAGATGTGGTGGTGCGTGCCTGTAATCCCAGCTACTCAGGAGGCTGAGGCAGGAGGATCACTTGAACCTGGGAGGCGGAGGTCGCAGTGAGCCGAGATCACGCCACTGCACTCCAGCCTGGGTGACACAGCAAGACTCCGTCTCATAAATAAATAAATAAGGCACCATAACAAAATACAGTTTATCCTAAACATGGTTTAATAGTTGGGAAGTTGGTCATATTATGTCTTTTTCCTAAATACATGCAGAGGTAAGAGACCTAACCCTGGGAGTGTGTTTGGAGGAATGAATGCTTTAAAATCAATCCCAGAATCGGTAAGTGTAATGCACAACAGTAACTGAATGACAGACAAAAACCACATGATCATCTTAGTCAATGCACAAAAAGCTTTTGAAAAAGTTCAACACGCTTTCATGATTAAAAAAAAAATGCAGCAAACTAGAAATAGAAGAAAACTACCACAATATGATAGCCATATATGAAAACCCCATAGTTAAATCATACTCAATGATGCAAGACAAACTTTTTCCTCGAAGATCAGGAACAAGACAAGAATGCCCACTTTCACCACTTCCATACCACGTAGTCTTGGAATTTCTAGATAGAGCAATTAGGCAAAAAGGAAGAAAAGGAAAGAAAAGAAAAAAGAAAAGGAAAAGGAGGGAATAGAAAGAAAAGAAGAAAGAAAGAAAATGCATCCAAATTGGAAAGGAAGAAGGAAAATTATTATTCATAGATTATATGATCTTAGAAAACCCTAAAGATTCCACAAAAAACCCTTTGGAACTACTAAACAAATTTGGCAAAGCAGCAGGACACAAAAGCAATACATGAAAATCAGTTGTGTTACTATATACTAACAAAGAACAATCTGAAAATGAAATTAAGAAAATAATTCTATTTATAATAGCATAAAAAGAATACAGCTGGGTGCGGTGTCTCACGCCTGTAATCCCAGCATTTTGGGAGGCTGAGGCAGGCAGATCACATGAGGTTGGGAGTTCGAGGCCAGCCTGACCAACATGGAGAAACCCCTTCTCTACTAAAAATACAGAATTAGCTGGGCATGGTGGTACATGCCTGTAATCCCAGTTACTCGGGAGGCTGAAGCAGGAGAATCGCTTGAACCCCATAGGTGGAGGTTGTGGTAAGCTGAGATCGTGCCATTGCACTCCAGCCTGGGCAACAAGAGCGAAACTCCATCTCTAAAAAAAAAAAAAGGAATAAAATAGTCATTGAAAGACTTGTGCAATGAAAACCACAAAACATTGCTGAAAGCAATTTTAAAAGACATAAATAAATGGAAAGATACCCTATGTTTATGGATTGAAAGACTTCATATTGTTAAGATGTCAAAACTATCCAAAGTGATCTATAGATTTCACGTAGTCTTTATCAAAAATCCCAATGACATTCTTTGCAAAAATAGAAAAATCCACCCTGAAAGTCATGTGGAGTATTCTTTCAAGAATTTTTTTATGTTGGCATTGAGTATTGAAATCAGCTCTACAATAATTGTGACTTTTGACCTTTTGACTTTGGTTGTGTGCTCCAACCCACTCTATACCTTGACTTCCCCATTTCTCAGATTCATATTTTGCTTCCTCTTTCAGCCAGTTGGTATATATCTCTTTTTTTTTTTTGAGACAGAATCTTGCTCTGTCGCCCAGGCTGGAGTGCAGTGGTGCCATCTCGGCTGACTGCAACCTCCGCCTCCCAGGTTCAAGCAATCAAGCAATTCTCCTGCTTCAGCCTCTCAAGTAGCTGGGACTACAGGCATGTGCCTCCACACCCGGATAATTTTTTTTTTTTTTTTGAGACAGAGTCACCCAGGCTGGGGCGCAATGGCACAATCTCGGCTCACTGCAACCTCTGCCTCCCGGGTTCAAGCGATTCTCCTGCCTCAGCCTCCCGAGTAGCTGGGACTGCAGGCGCCTGCATCCACACCTGGCTAATTTTTGTATTTTTAGTAGAGACGGGGTTTCATCATGTTGGCCAGGCTGATTTCAAATTCCTGACCTCAAGTGATCTGCCTGCCTCGTCCTCCCAAAGTGTTGGGATTACAGGCGTGAGCCTGTAAAGCACTTTTTGCAGGCAGATGTTAAACAAATAACTATATGTATATAACTACAATATACAACTATAGTAATATAATTTTAAAAAAATTTTTGAGTCATGGCTCACTGCTGCCTCAACCTCCTGGGGTCAAGAGTTCCTCCCACCTCTCAGCCTTCCAATAGTATATATATATTTGCTGGGTGTGGTAGCTCATCCGTATAATTTCAGTACTTTGGGAGGCCGAGGCAGGAAGACTGCTTATCCTAGCTACTTGGGAGGCTGAGGCAGCGCAAGGATCCCTTAAGCTCAGGAGTTCAAGGTTGCGGTGAGCTGGAATCACACCACTGCACAGCGGACTGGGTGACAGAGCAAGACCCTGTCTCCAAAACACACACACACACACAACTATTTTAAGCCATTGCACATCAGCCTGGGCAACATAGTGAGATCCTGTCTCTAAAAAATAAAAAATAAAAAAATAAAAATAGTATTTCAAGTTTAATTTTTGAATGGGTAATACAAATAAAAAACAAAAATAAAAATAAATTAAAAATAAAAATATACAGTATTTCGAGTTTAATCTTTGAATGGGTAATACTTTTGTTTTTTTGAGAAAGAGTCTTGCTCTGTCGCCCAGGCTGGCGTGCAGTGGTGCAATCTCCGCTCCTGCAACCTCCGCCTCCTGGGTTCAAGTAATTCTCATGCCTCAGTCTCCTGAGTAGCTGGGACTGCAGGCGCACACCACCATGCGCAGCTAATTTTTTATAATTTTTATAGAGACAAGGTTTTGCCACATTGGTCAGGCTGGTCTCCTGAGCTCAGGCAATCCACCCGGCTTGGCCTCCCAGAGTGTTGGGATTACAGGCGGAGCCACTGCACCCGGACCAAATGGGTAATCCTTTTACATGGTTCAAAAGCCACATCAAAATATATGAAGAATTAGCCTTCTTCCCAGCCTTGTCTCCCATCTTTCCAACAACCATTAACCACAATTCTTAGTTTCTTATGTTTCACTTCCTTTCTTTATGAATAAACAAGCTAGTATTAATACAGATTCTTGCTTTCTCCCGATTTTAACTCTTACAGTAGCATGATGTACAGACTGTTCTGCATGCTTCTTCTCACGTAACAGTATGTATCTTGGGAATCTTTCCATATTTTTACCTTAAAAATTTCCATGTTTAAAAAAAAGGTGCATAATTTTTGTTTGTTTGTTTGTTTTTTGGAGACAGAGTTACTCTGTCTCCCAGCTGGAGTGCAGTGGTGCGATCTCAGCTGACTGCAACCTCCACCTCCTGGGTTCAAGCAATTCTCCTGCCTCAGCCTCCTGAGTAGCTGGGATTATAGGCGCACACCACTACACCTGGCTAATTTTTGTATTTTTAGTAAAGACGGGGTTTCACCATATTGCCGGGGCTGGTCTCAAACTCCTGACCTCGAGTGATCCACCTGCCTCAGCCTTGCATAGTATTTTACTACAAGCTAGATATGATAGACTTTTTTTTTTAGCCCTTGAATATCTGAGAATGTTCTTTTGCCCTTACACATGAAATATAAACTGGGTATAAAATCCTTGAGTCGCAATATTTTACCCCATAAAACTCTTGTAGAGGTTGGTATTAAGGCCAGCTTACATATATTTCTTTCTTGTTTTTCCCATCATTTCTACATGGATCCTATCTTTTTTCCTCTCACAGTTTAGATACTTTGCTGAATGGTCTTTATGTTTGTTTGCTTGTTTGTTTGAGACGGAGTCTTGCTCTGTCACCCAAGCTGGAATGTAGTGATGCCATCTCAGCAACCTCCGCCTCCCAGGTTCAAGCAATTCTACTGCCTCAGCCTCCCGAGTAGCTGAGATCAGAGGCAAGTGCACCCACACCCAGCTAATTTTTGTATTTTTAGTAGAGATGGGGTTTCACCATGTTGGCCAGGCTGGTCTCAGACTCCTGACCTCAAGTGATCCACCCGCCTTGGTGAATCATGTTTAAATGTAGATCTTCTCACTAATTTCATTCAGCAGACAGTAAACTCTTTGATCTGCATATTTCTTTATCTCAGGATAATTTTATTCTCTTATAGTTTCAATTATTAGGCTTAATCCTTTTTGTTCTGATTTCGCCTGAGAAACACTGATTATATGAATGCTAGCATATCAGCTAGGGATTTCAGGGAACATGAATTGTCTGAAATTCATGTTTTAGAAAACTCAGACACCAGTGACTTAAAATAGGTGTTTATTTTGCTCACATAATGAAATGTCTAGGGATAGGCAGTTGAGGGTCGTGGTTCAGTGGAATAAGGATGTTGGAGCCCAAACCCCCCAGTGCCCTCGGCTTTTTCATCATCGTCAAAATTTGGCCTCTCTAACACCAGCCTCACCTCTAACAAAACCAAAATAATGTCAAGAAAAGAAAAGGGAGAAAGGATATTTCCACTGTGTCTCTGACCCAGCTTTGTGTTCTCTGCCTGCTATGATCCTCTTCGTCTGTTACTCTGTTCTTTTTTGTCACATTCCAGGCAAGCTTTTTTAAAGGTCATCCTCCAAAATGGATTTTAATGCTATTCTTGAATTTTAGTTTTCCTGCAATCCTTTTTGATATCATCCAACTTTCCTCTAACTTATCCTGCTGTCCTTTCATCTCAGTCATCTCTCCATGTGTGACGTTCGGCTTGCTTTTAAAAGGACTCAGAGTTTTTCCTTGTCTACCAAGTGTGTTGTAATACTTTTTGGAATGCCTGCTCAATCCGTTATCCTTCCCCCTTCTCTAAGAATAAGCTCCCTGGGCTTGGGAAAGATTTTATTTTATTTTTATTTTTATTTATTTATTTTTTATTTTTTTTGAGACAGAGTCTCACTCTGTCACCCAAGCTGGAGTGCAATGGCATGATCTTGGCTCACTCCTGAGCTGGGATTACAGGTGCCCACCACCACGCCCAGCTAATTTTTGTATGTTTTTATTATTTTTATTTATTTATTTGTTTTATAATTTTGTTTTTTTTTTTGAGACTGAGTCTTGCTCTGTTGCCCAGGCTGGAGTGCAGTGGCACAATCTCGGCTCACTGCCGAGCTGGGATTACAGGCGCCCACCACCACGCCCAGCTAATTTTTGTATTCTCATTTTTTATTATTTATATTTATTTTTATTTATTTATTTATTTATTTATTTATTTATTTATTTATTTATGACAGAGTCTCACTCTGTCGCCCAGGCTGGAGTGCAGTGGTGCGATCTTGGTTCACTGCAACCTCCACCTCCCAGGTTCAAGCGATTCTCCTGCCTCAGCCTCCCAAGTAGCTGGGACTACAGGTGCCCGCCACCACGCCCAGCTAATTTTTGTATTTTTAGTAGAGACAGGGTTTCACCATACTGGCCAGGCTGTTCTCGAATTCCTGACCTTGTGATCTGCTTGCCTTGGCCTCCCAAAGTGCTGGGGTTACAGATATGAGCCACCCCACCGGGCTTATTTATTTAATTTAATTTATTTTATTTTTTTCTGAGATGGAGTCTTGCTCTATTGCCCAGACTGGAGTCCAGTGGCATGATCTTGGCTCACTGCAACCTCTGCCTCCTGGGTTCAAGCAATTCTCCTGCCTCAGCTTCCTAAGTAGCTGGGATTACAGGTGCACACCAACACACCTGGCTAATTTTTGTATTTTTAGTAGAGACGGGGTTTCACCAGGTTGGCCAGCCTGGTCTTGAACTCCTCAAGTGATCCACCCACTTCGGCCTCTCAAAGTGCTGAGATTACAGGCATGAGCCATTGCGCCTGGCCACTTTCACTGATTTTTGCTGAACTCTGGTATCTAACATGAATGTTGGTTGATATTTTCATGTATGTTATCAAAGAAGACAAAGTAAAACAAGAGCTATATATTTCAGAACTTCACTTGTTAATCAGAGGTAGGAGAACTTCTTTGCTGAAAAAAAAAGATTATGAACACTGGAAGAACATTTCCTCAAATGTTTGTTCATGCTATTCCAATGCAAAGGCTACAGCTACAGATATGACATACTTTTATCAACATTTTCACTAGTATTTTTTTTTTTTGAGACAGGGTTTCCAGTTGCACAGACTGGAGTGCAGCAGTGCGATCTCGGCTAATCCCAGATGTTTGCAAGGCTGAGGCAGAAGGATCGCTTGAACCTGGGAGGCAGAGAGTGCAGTGAGCCGAGATTACTCTATTGCACTCCAGCCTGGTTGACAAGAGTGAAACTCTGTCTCAAAAAAAAAAAAAATCAATGAAAACATTCCGTTAGAATCAACTTGCTATATGGAATTAGAAATAAATGTATGTTTTAGGCTGGGCAAGGTGGCTCATGCCTGTAATCCACGCCTGTGGGTAGATCACTTGAGCCCAGGAGTTCCAGACCAGTGAAACCACATATCTACAAAAAGAAAAAGAAAAAAAAAATTAGCTGGGTGTGGTGGTGCGTGCCTGGAGTCCCAGCTACTAGGAGGCTGAGGTGGGAGAATCACTTAAGCCCAGGAGGTCAAGACTGCAGGCCGGGCGCGGTGGCTCACGCCTGTAATCCCAGCACTTTGGGAGGCCCAGCACTTTGGGAGGCCAAGGCAGGCGGATCACCTGAAGTCAGGAGTTTGAGACCAGCCTGACCAATATGGAGAAACCCCATCTCTACTAAAAACACAAAATTAGCCTGGCATGGTGCTGCATGCCTGTAATCCCAGCTACTCAGGAAGCTGAGGCAGGAGAATTGCTTGAACCTGGGAGGCGGAGGTTGTGGTGAGCCGCGATCGCGCCATTGCTCTTCAGCTTGGGCAACAAGAGTAAAACTCCGTCTCAAAAAAAAAGACTGCAGTGAACCGAGACTGTACCACTGCATTTCAGCCTAGGCAACAGAGTGAGACATTACGTCAAAAAAAAAAAAAAAAGGAAAAGGAAAAAAGGAGAAATACATATATTTTATCATCTGTAAATTGTATACCATATATCCCTTATATCAGAAAAATTTATAATAAACGTGTATATTAATATATATGCATTTTTTTTTCTGGAAAGTTGGCTGTAAAAACATCTGTTAAACATCACTGGATGGCTACCTCACATTCCCAAATAACATGCCTCTCATTTCCACGCAGATTAACGCATTGCCTTTATTTGTGTGTGTGTGTGTCTGTGTGTGTGTGTGTGTTTTATTTGGTTTTGTTTTGAGACAGAGCCTCCTTCTGTCACCCAGACTGAAATGCAGTGGTGCAATCTCAGTTCACTGCTGTCTTGGCCTCCTGGGCTCAAGTGATCCTCACACCTCAGCTTCCTGAGTAGCTGGGATTTTGAGATGGAGTCTCCTCAGTCCCCCAGGCCAGAGTGCAGTGACATGATCTTGGCTCACTGCAACCTCTGCCTCCTGGGTTCAAGTGATTCTCCTGCCTCAGCCTCCCAAGTAGCTGAGATTACAGGTGGCCACCACCATGCCCAGCTAATTTTTGTATTTTTAGTAGAGATGGGGTTTCACCATGTTGGCCAGGCTGGTCTCGAACTCCTGACCTCAACGGATATCTGTCAGTCTCCAAAAAAAAGTATATATATATATTTCAGGATCTGATCCCCCTTATTATCTGCATCTTATCACTGCTATCCCCCTACTCAAGACACCCTCTTCTCTCCTCTGGATTATTGCAGTCATCTCCTGGTGGGCTCTGCTCTGATACCCTTGCCTTCTTACCCAACAGCCTAAGTGGTCCTTTAAAAAAGTCAGATGACAGCCAGGCATGGGGGCTCGCACCTGTAATTCCAGTGCTTTTGGACGTTGAGGCAGAAAGATTGCTTGAGCCAGGAGTTCAAGGCTGCAATGAGCTGTGATCATGCCACTGCACTCCAGCCTGGGCAACAGAGCAAGACCCTGTCTCTGCTATTGTTGTGGGAAGTCAGGGACCCTGAACAGAGGGACCTGCTGAAGCTGTGACAGAAGAACATAAATTGTGAAGATTTCATGGACATTTGTTAGTTCTCCAAATTAATACTTTCATAATTTCTTAGGCCTGTCTTTACTGCAATCTCTGAACATAAATTGTGAAGATTTCATGGACATTTATCACTTCCCCAATCAATACTCTTAAAATTTCCTATGCTTGTCTTTACTTTAATCTCCTAATCCCGTCATCTTCGTAAACTGAAGATGTATGTTGCCTCAAGACCCTGTGATGGTTGCATTAACTGCACAAATTATTCGTAAAGCATGTGTGTTTAAACAATATGAAATTTGGGCACCTTGAAGAAAGAACAGGATAACAGCGATGTTCAGGGAACAAGGGAGATAACCATTAGCTCTGGCTGCCTGGGAGCCGGGCAGGACACAGCCACATTTCTCTTATTTACTATAAAAAAAGTCAGTTAAGACATTACAAAGTCCTTCTTCTGTCCAAAACCCTCTGTTATGGGCTGAATTGTGTCCCCCTCCAATTCAGTTCATATGTTGAAGTTCTAAGCCCCAGTACCTCAAAATGTAACTGTATTTGGGGATAGAGTCTTCAAAGAGGCAATTACGTTAAAACGAGGTCATTAGGGTGGGGTCTAATGTGTATGACTTATGTGTTTATTAGAAGAGGAAAATGGAGGCCAGGTGCAGCGGCTTATGCCTGTAATCCCGGCACTTTGGGAGGTCAAGGTGGGCAGATCGCTAGAGCCCAGCAGTTCGAGACCAGCTTGGGCAACACAGCAGAACCCCGATTCCATAAAAAAATATAAAAATTAGCCGGGCGTGGTGGTGTGCACCTGTAGTCCCACCAGCTATTTGGGAAGCTGAGGTGGGGGAATCACTTGAGTCCTGGAGATCGAGGCTGCAGTGACAAAAAAGAAGAAGCCAGATGCAGTGGCTCACACCTCTAATCTCAGCACTTTGGGAGGCTGAGGCAGGTGGATCACTTCAGGTCAGGAGTTCGAGACCAGCCTGGCCAACATGGTGAAACCGCGTGTCTACTAAAAATACAAAAATTAGCTGGGCTTGGTGGTAGGTGCCTGTAATCCCAGCTACTCGAGAGGCTGAGGCAGGAGAATTACTTGAACCCGGGAGGTGGAGGTTGTTGTAAGCCGAGACCATGCCACTGCACTCCAGCCAAAGTGAGACTCCACCTCAAAAAAAAAAAAAAAAAAAAAAAGAGGAAAATTGGACACCACACATAAAGGGAAGACCATGTGAAGTTATAGAAGAAGACTGCCATCTCAACAAGCCAAGGAAAGAGGCCTGAGGAGAAACCAACCCTGCTGACACCTTGGTCTTGGACTTCAAGCCTCCAGAATGGTGACAAAATTAGTTTCTGTTGTTTAAGCCATCCAGTCTGGGATACTTTGTTATGACAGCCCTAGCAATCTAATACATTCACCAATGGCTCCCAATTTCACCCAGATAAAAAGCCAAAGTTCTTACTCAAACTTACCAACCCTAAACTTAGCAAACTTGGTGTCCACTCCTTGGAAACTTGTTCAGCCAACTGGAAGGCTGGAGAATTCCCCCTGTTAGGTGGAAACTGGATCAATAGAGTTAGTGTTGCAACAAGAAACATCCAACATTGGAAAGAAAACTAACCTTAATGATTTAATAACTAAAGATCTCATCTCAGAAAGTTTAGCCAACTCTGTCTCCTTCCCTTTGTGATGCTCTGCCCCTCCATGGAGATCATGGGAACAATTCTTAAGCTCTTTGTAGACTGGGCAAGGACACATAAATCCCCTAAGTCAGAACTGGGTATCAATGGTGGGTTAAGGGCTGAAATATAGAAACATGTGCAATTATTTGATGGTTTATGGCTCATTTCAACCAAAAGACCATTCCTAGCCCATTTGCACTGTTTTCATTGAGATGTCAAAAGTGCTGAAAGGAGGCTGGGAAAACTGGTTGGCTCCTGTCTGGGGCAGGCAGCTGATAGAGGAAATTAGCTGGTTCCTATAATTGGCACTGTAGCTCCCAATGAAGAGAGGGCAGACAGATTTAAATGAGCTGTTTTTGGGAGGAGGTGGGGAAGGAAAGGAGAGATGATTTGGGTGGAGAGCATACATGAAGATGTAGGGGAGGCTGGACGCAGTGGCTCACAACTGTAATGCCAGCACTTTGGGAGGCCAAGGCAGGCAGATCACCTGAGGTCAGGAGTTTGAGACCAGCCTGGCCAACATGGTGAAACCTCGTGTCTACTAAAAATACAAAAAAATCGGACCAGCCTGGCCAACATGGTGAAACCCTGTCTCTGCTAAAAATTAGCTGGGTATGGTGGTTCACACCTATAATTTCAGCTACTCGGGAAGCTGAGGCAGGATAATCAGTTGGATCTGGGAGGTGGAAGTTGTGGTGAGCCGAGATCACATCACTGCACTCCAGCCTGGATGATAGAGTGAGACTCCATCTCAAAAAAAAAAAAAAAAAAAAAAGATGTAGTGGATGTTGTTGGTGCCATCCAGATCCTGTTCATCTGCTGTCTCAGTCAGCTCAAGCTACCAAAAAGTACCACTAGCTTTGGCTTAAACAACAGAAATGTGTTTTCTCATAGCTCTGGTGGCTAGAAGTCCAAGATCAAGGCACGTGCAGGATGGGTTTCTTCTGAGTCTCTCTCTTTGGCTTGCAGATGGCCATAGTCTCTCTGTGTCCTCAAATGGTCTTTCTTCTGTGCATATGTATTCCTGGTGTCTCTCTGTGTGTCCTAATTCCTCTTCTTATAAGGATATCAGTCAGACTGGATTAGGGGCCAACCTAACAGCCTCATTTTAAGTTAATTACCTCTTTAAAGGCGCTGTCGGCCGGGCGCGGTGGCTCATGCCTGTAATCCCAGCACTTTGGGAGGCCGAGGTGGGTGTATCACGAGGTCAGGAGATCGAGACCATCCTGGCTAACATGATGAAACCCCGTCTCTACTAAAAATACAAAAAATTAGCTGGGCGTGATGGCGAGCATCTGTAGCCCCAGCTACTCCGGAGGCTGAGGCAGGAGAATGGCCTGAACCCGGGAAGTGGAGCTTGCGGTGAGCCGACATCGCGCCACTGCACTCCAGCCTGGGCGACAGAGAGAGACTCCGTCTCAAAAACAAAACAAAACAAACAACAACAAAAAAAAGGCTCTGTCTCCAAATAGAGTCACATTCTGAGGTACTGGAGGTTAGGGTTTCCACATATGACATTTTGGAGGACACAATTAAGCTCATACAGCTGCCTGGTGCATCTTTCCCCCAGCTGCAGGGAGTGATGGTTGATAATGACTCACAACTGCCCCATTTTCTAGAGAGTTATTTTTGGCCAACAGGGGTCGCCTTGTCTGGGAGGTTACTCACCCCCAGCAGCCTGCAAACAGTGCTGTGTGACTCTGTTGTATAAAGGCTGGTCCTCTTGCCCCAGGGTGAGACCAACACTGTGGTGCTATTCATACTTCTGAGCTCTCTGTGGGATCATGCTAAGGCTAGATTCTAGATGAAAACCACATCTTTGCTCAGCTTCTTCCTCTGTCACATGTGGCTTCCCTCACTTCCTTCTCATGGGAGCACTCCCCGAAGACATCACGTGCAGCTGAATCCCCGCCTCAGGCTCTGCTTCTAGGGAGCCTGACTTACAACATTGTTATCTTTTTTTTTGACACAGGGTCTTGCTATGTCACCCAGGCTAGACTGCAGTGGCATTATCAATGAAAAAAATGGAGGAAATGTTTATCAAATTGTAAATGACTCTAAGCTTGAAGGAACAATCAGTATGTGAGATAATAATGGCTAGGCACGGTGGCTCACACCTGTAATCCTAGCACTTTGAGAGGCCAAGGCAGGAGGATTGTTTAAGACCAGCCTGGGCAACATAGTGAGACACTGTCTCTAAAAAAAAAAAAGAGAGAGAGATGATAACACCAAGTAGGGTTTAGGGCAATCTCTGTGATCCAGAATGATGGACTGAACAAGTAAAATCAAATTTAACAGGGATATGTGAAAAAGCCTATATTCAGATTCACTTAATTATTTTATTTTATTTTATTTTTTTGAAATGGAGTCTTGCTCTTATTGCCCAGGCTGGAGTGCAATGGCGCAATCTTGGCTCACTGCAACCTCTGCCTCCCAGGTTCAAGCAGTTCTCCTGCCTCAGCCTCCCGAGTAGCTGGGATTACAGGTGTGCATCACCATGCCCAGCTAATTTTTTGTATTTTTAGTAGAG
The DNA here is from genome assembly GCF_000001405.40 of Homo sapiens. NCBI lineage: Eukaryota > Metazoa > Chordata > Mammalia > Primates > Hominidae > Homo > Homo sapiens. The sequence continues at coordinate 5,057,775 of NC_000020.11, forward strand.
ACAGGGTTTCACCAGGCTGGCCAGCCTAGTCTTGAACTCCTGAGTGATCTGCCCGCCTCAGCCTCCCAAAGTGCTGGGATTACAGGCATGAGCCACCGCACCCGGCCTTTTATTTAAATCTTTTAAGTCAACCTGCCTGACTCTTCTATTAGAAAGCATGCATGGCCCATCCCTTGAGAAATGCCCCCACTTTCCCCCTCCCCCCTCCTTTTTATTTTTTGAGACAGAGTCTCACTTTGTCACCCAGGCTGGAGCACAGTGGCCTGATCTCGGCTCACTGCAACCTCCGCCTCCTGGGTTTAAGCAATTCTCCTGCCTCAGCCTCCTGAGTAGCTGGGACTACAGGCACCTACCACCACATTCAACTAATTTTTGTATTTTTAGTAGACAGGGTTTCGCTCTGTTGGCCAGGCTGGTCTCGAACTCCTGATCTCAAGTGATCTGTCCCCCTTGGCCTCCCAAAGTGCTGGGATTATAGGTATGAGCCACTGTGCCTGGCGTCCCCTGTTATTTCTGATCCCTCCTTTGGATAGGTACACCCTCCTCCAGGTCCTACATCCTCTCTCCAGGGCTGGACTAGGAGGGTCTTCAGGAAGATGAGGAAGGAGACGCAGAGGACCTAGGAAAGAAAAATCCCTTCATGACTGAGTAGGCCCCACCAGCCTACTTTGTCCCTCTCCTATTTACTGCCCTCTTTCTCCTCACAGGGAGCCGGACCATTCCTCACCCAAGAGTCTACCTGTGGGGAGGTATGCAAGACAGTCCTCTTCTGCAGAGAACTGCCAGTTTGGGTTTTCCTTTAAACTTTAAAGGAATTTGACTTTCACCCTTCCGGCACCTACAGACCCACCATGGTCACTCATGGTCAACTATCTTTTCTTAGAGAGAACATGTTTAAAACTAGGTATGTGGGTATATTCATCAAAGGGAAAATTAGCTGGGCATGGTGTCGCACACCTGTAGTCCCAGCTACTCAGGAGGCTGAGGCTGAGGTGGGATGACAAGGTTGAGCCCAGGAGTTTGAGACCAGCCTGGGCAACATAGTGAGACCCAGTCTTTATGAAAATGAAATAAAATAAATTAGCTGGGCATGATGGTACATGCCTGTAGTGGTAGCTACTCTGGAAGCTGAGGCGGAAAGGATTGCTTGAGCCCAGGAGTTCTGGGTGACAGAGCAGGACCTTATCTTTAAAAATAATAGTAATAAGAATACAATTTACAAGAAGGAGAAAATAAACCTGGAGCTCAAGCCCTCATGAAACAGTGTACTTGAAAAAACAAAGGCTCTATTTTAGTAAGTATAGGTTAGGTAATGCTACAAAAACAAACAAATCCAAAATCTAAGTGGCTCAAAACTACATGTTTTATTTTTGTTTTCTTTCTTTTATTTTCTATTTATTTTTTTTTGAGACAGGTTTTGTTCTGTTGCCCAGACTGGAGTGCAGTGGTGTGATCATGGCTCACTACAGCTTCCACCTCCCAGCCTCTGTCATTCAGATACCCCAACCCCAGTTCTCCTTTATGGAAGTAATCAGGCTTACCAATTTCCTGTGTCTCCTTCCAAAAAAAATTCTCAACAACAAATACACATTTATATACATGAGTCTGTTGTATATAGCACATGTTGTATATAGTACCTAGAAAAATGCAAAAAAAACTTGTATGTAAGGTTTAAAAAATAACTCATTAATACCCAGTTGAAGGAATAGAAGTGAGAAGATCCCTCCCCAAAGCCCCTGTCTGTGCCTCCCTGAACATAGCCAGCTTATTCCTAAACATGCTCATGATTCTGACTTTAGTGATAGCCATATCCTTGCCTTTATTTTATCCTTGCCTTTATTTTATTTTTGTTTTTGAGAGAGTGTCTCAGTGTTGCCCAGGCTGGAGTGCAGTGGCTTGATCATGGCTCACTGCAGCCTCAACCCCCACTCAGGGATCCTCCCACTCAGCCTCCAGAGTAGCTGGGACCATAGCACCACTTCCAGCTAATTTTTTTTTTTTTTTTTTTTTTTTTTTTTTGAGACAGAGTCTCGCTCTGTCGCCCAGGCTGGATGGAGTACAGTGGTGCAACCTCGGCTCGCTGCAACCTCCGCCTCCTAGTTTCAAGCAGTTCTCCTGCGTCAGCCTCCTGAGTAGCCAGGCAACCACTACCATGCCTGGCTAATTTTTGTATTTTTAGTAAAGATGGGGTTTCACCATGTTGGCCAGACTGGTCTCAAACTCCTGACCTGAGGTAATCCACCCGCCTTGGCCTCCCAAAGTGCTGGGATTACAGGCATGAGCTACTGCTCCCAGCCAGCTAATGTTTTTAATCTTCTGTAGTGATGACTTCTTGCTATATTGTTCAGGCTAGTCTTGAACTTCTGGCCTCAAACAATCCTCCCGCCTTGGCCTCCCACAATGCTGGGATTACAGGCATGAAACACTGCACCCAGCCCTGTTACCTTACCTTTTAAAAAAGAATAGTTTTAGCACCTGTGTACACATCCCCAAATAATATAGGTTCTTCTATTTTTGAAATGTATGGACTGGAATCATATGTTATACAGTGTATTGTCTTTTTTTTTTTTTTTTTTTTTTGAGATGGAGTCTTGCTCTGTCACCCAGGCTGGAGTGCAGTGGCACAATTTCAGCTCACTGCAACCTCCACCTCCCAGGTTCAAGCAATTCTTCTGCCTCAGCCTCCTGAGTAGCTGGGATTACGGGAATAGACCACGACGCCCAGCTAGTTTTTGTATTTTCAGTAGAGGCAGGATTTCACCCGGTTAGCCAGGCTGGTCTCAAACTCCTGAGCTCAAGTGATCTGCCTGCCTCAACCTCCCAAAGTGCTGGGATCACAGGTGTGAGCCACTGTGCCTGGCCCACTGTATTGTCTTTTGTGTCTTGTCTTTCTCAGTTAACATTTTGTTTCTCAGATTCATCCACATATAGTTAGAGTTTTGTCATTTCCATTATTGTGTAGTATTTCATTATGAATATACCGTAATTTATCAATTTTCCTTTTGGGGGACATTTGAGTTTTCAACTTGGGGCTATTACATGCAGTACTTCTATCCATGGGTCTTGGTGCACATGTGCATGAGAAGGATTCCTGGGTTATAGAGTGTGTCTTCAGTTTTACTGATAATACCAGATAGTTTTCCAAAGCCATATTAGTTTATGTTCTCACTAGTAGTATAAAAATGTTCGCATTCTCTCTACCTTTGTCAAATCTTGGCATTGTCAGAGTATATGATTATTGATTATTGTAAACACATGGGAGTGTAGTATACAGTTTATTCTCCAAACTTGCCTTTTAAAAAACACAATACAGCCTGGAATTTATGCTATCAAAAATATGAAGACATTCATTTGTATGCTTGTATAACATATTATGATATCAATACCTTACTTTTTCCCTCCTCTTTCTTGAATAATGCATCATTTTCAACATAGACTTGTAGGGCAAAGATGGCACATTATTCACAGCTCATTTCTCTGCCTGTGGCAGACATTACTAATTGATCACAACACTCTTTGCCACTGAGTGCAGATGTAGCCTCAGATCCCTTTCAATGCAGTGCTCTAGTACCTTGCTACTCAAAATGTAGTTTCCGAACTGGCAGCATCAGCATTACCTGGGAGTCTGTGAGAAATGCAGAATCTCAGACCCACCCCAAACTCCCTGAGTCACATCCTGCATTCTCAGGTGATTCACCACAAGGAAGGCTGGGAAGTGCTAGCCTAGGCTGCCCTTATCAATCAATCAAAGCCATTCTATGGGATGAATGTGTGTGTCCTCCCTATTTCAGAGGCACACTACATGGCTCTGTCCTTGCTCCTGTCCTTTTCCAAGCGCTTATCTATGCATTGTATGAGAACATAGGTCATAGGCTGATCTGATTTGCTGACAGTAAGAATCTCAGGGGAAAGCTGAAACACTGGATTGGGGAATCATGATACAAACCCACTGAGAGGATGGAGCAAAGGACCAATTTCAACAATTGGCTAAATAAAGTTCAACCAAAAAAAAGACTTCACAGGAGTATACTTGAAAATAGGGCATTAGGGGGTTCACAGCATCTGTTCCGGAACAGGTACCTGGTGTTCTTAAGAGGGTTCTATTACAGATTAGTTTGGGAAGCACCACTGTGCTTTTTCCTCCTCTTAGAAAGTCCATTTATAGGCCAGGCGTGGTGGCTCATGCCTGTAATCCCAGCACTTTGAGAGGCCGAGGCGGGCAGATCACCTGAGGTCAGGAGTTCAAGAACAGCCTGGCCAACATGGTGAAACCCCATCTCTATAAAAATACAAAAAAATTAGCCAGGCATGATGGCGGGTGCCTGTAATCCCAGCTACTCAGGAGGCTGTGGTGAGAGAATCGCTTGAGCCTAGGAGGCAGAGGTTACAGTGAGCCGAGATCGCACCATTGCACCCCAGCCTAGGCAACAAAAGTGAAACTCCGTCTCAAAAAAAAGAAAAAAAAAAAGCCATTTATGTGGCTGGGTGTGGAGGCTCACACCTGTAATCCCAGCACACTGGGAGGCAGAGGTGGGAGAATTACTTGAGCCCAGGAGTTCAAGACCAGCCTGGACAACACAGTGAGACTCTGTCTCAATTAAAAAAAAAAAAAAAAGTCAATTTATGCACTAGAAAATACAGAGACCTGGATGCCCATGGTAAAGAAGTAAATTTCTCTTTGTTTAAATCAGTAGTCCTAGGTCGAGCACAGTGGCTCACACCTGTAATCCCAGCACTTTGAAAGGCCAAGGCAGGCCAATTGCTTGAGTTCAGGAGTTTAAGACCAGACTAGGCAACATGGCGAAACCCTGTCTCTACTAAAAACAAAAATACAAAAAATTAGCTGTGTGTGGTGGTGCATGCTTGTAGTCCCAGCTACTCAGGAGGCTGAGGTGAGAGGATCACTTGAGCCCGGGAGTTCAAGGCTGCAGTGAGCCCTGACAGTGCCACTGCATTCCAGCCTGGGAAACAGAGTGAGACCCTGTCATAAATAATAAATAAATAAATAAATAATCAGCAGTCCCTAAACAGAACTGTATATTACCTATTGATATCTACAGAGCTGGTATTCTATGGAATACAATGTGGGAAACACTGGCTTGGGGCTTTGGTTTATAGACTGAGCTATGAAGAAGACAATACTAGCTTTGAAGCACATAAAGAGAAGTATAGTCTCCAGGGACAGAGAGAGGAGATGCTCTGCTCCCTGCATTCTGAGCACCATATTGCCTTCATAAGTTACGAGGGAGGGACATTGAGAGACTCCAGTGTCTTCAGAGATGGACTCCAGGACAGTGAAGCCTCACCACGGCTGTCCTACTGTGAATGTCTAACTTAGAGCAGTTTTTCCTATCCTGTCTCAACGCAGTAACTGGGGAGGAGGAAGGGAGGCTGGTGGATCTGAGTGCTTAAGAAGGCCCCAGAGGACCAAAAGTCTCCAGGGGAGGACTGCATAATCCTCCTCCATCCCCCTCAACAGGAATCACTAAGTAGCTGCTATGAATTTTTTTTTTTTTTTTTTTTTTTTTTTTGAGATGGAGTCTCGCTCTGTCACCCAGGCTGGAGTGCAATGGCGTGATCTCATCTCACTGCAACTTCTGCCTCCCAGTTTCAAGCAATTCTCCTGCCTCAGCCTACTGAGTAGCTGGGATTACAGGGGTGCACCACCGCACCTGGCTAACTTTTGTATTTTTTGGTGGAGATGGGGTTTCACCATATTGGCTGGGCTGGTCTCGAACTTCTGACCTCAAGTGGTCTGCCCACCTCGGCCTCCCAGAGTGCTGGGATTAGAGGTGTGAGCCACCATGGCCGGCCTGCTATGAAATACTTAATGGCACATCCTGTGGAAAAGGAACTAAGCTTTCTTTGAGGGGGATCGGAGAACAGACCTGAGACAGGTGGATTAAAGTTACAGAAAAGTGAAAAGTCATACAAGCTGCATATACATACAGATGTACACATACATGTGTATTCTCTGACCATGATGAAATAGAATTTATAACAAAAATCCAAAAAATTATCCCAAAATTTGTTAACTTGGAAAAATTTCTAAATGATTCTTGGTTCCAAGGGGAAATAAAAACACAAATTACAACCTAGAAATAAAACATAATTAGAGAGCTACATGTCAAAATCTGGAAAATGTGGCCAAAGTGGTACTTAGGAAAATGCATACCCACAGGCTCACAGATAACGAAACAAGAAAGACTGGCTGGGAGTGGTGGTGCGCATCTGTAATCCCAGCACTTTGAGAGGCTGAAAGCAGGTGGATCACCTGAGGTCAGGAGTTCGAGACCAGCCTGGCCAATATGGTGAAACCCTGTCTCTACTAAAAATACAAAAATTAGACAGGTGTGGTAGCGCACACCTGTAGTCCCAGCTACTCGGGAGGCTGAGGCAGGAGAATCACTTGAACCCAGGAGGCGGAGGTTGCAGTGTGCTGAGATTGCACCACTACACTCCAGCCTGGGCAACAGAACAAGACTCCATCTCAAAAACAACAAAAACAAAAACATTATCAGGCCGGGTGCAGTGGCTCACGCCTGTAATCCCAGCACTTTGGGAGGCCGAGGCAGGTGGATCACCTGAGTTCGAGAGTTCAAGACCAGCCTGACCAACATGGAGAAACCCCATCTCTATTAAAAACACAAAATTAGCTGGGTGTGGTGGGGCGTGGGTGTAATCCCAGCTACTTGGGAGGCTAAGGAAGGAGAATCGCTTGAACCCAGGAGGTGGAGGTTGCGGTGAGCCAAGATCACGCCATTGCACTCCAGCCTGGGCAACAAGAGCGAAACTCCGTCTCAAAATAAAAAAAGACTGACATTAAGTAAATTAAATTTTCTACCTAGGAGGCTGACAAGTGAATAGCAAAATAAGTCCAAAGGAAGTATAAGCAAAAATTACTAAAGATGAAAACAAAAATAAATCAAATGAAAACAAAACTCAATAATAAATTTTATCAAACCAAATGCTAATTCAATGAAGGAAAAATAATAAAATGGACATTTTTGAAAAAGGTGATCAAAGAAAAAAAAGAGTTGAAAACAAAGATAGCATTTGTAGTAAGAAAGAAAACCAAAGTACAGATACTTGTACAGATTAAAAAAATACCAGGGGCTAGGCGTGGTGGCTCATGCCTGTAATCCCAGCACTTTGGGAGACCAAGGTGGGAAGATCACTTGAGCTTAGGAGTTTGAGACCAGCCTGGGCCAACAAAGTGAGATCTCATCTCTATTAAAAAAACAAAAACCAAAAAGATATCTTTTTTTTTCCATGAATGAAATGCAAATATCCAATAAGCACATGAAAAGATGAAAAATATAGGAAGGCAGGTTTAGTCTCATTATAAAGACTAACTTCCTCAGCCAGGTGTGGTGGCTCTCACCTGTGATCCCAGCACTTTGGGAGGCCGAGGTGGGAAAGATCACCTGAGCTCGAGTTTGAGAACAGCCTAGGCAACATGGCAAGACCCCATCTCTCAAAAAAAAAAAGATTAACTTCCCAATGCATTGAAATAACCCATGAGTATCATGAACTCTGTCACAAGGAAGGGACACCAGAGGCTCAGATGTTGGCTGAGAGGTGACCAATTGTCAGGAGCAGGGGCACTGGTGATCTTAGGGGATGGGAACAGAGAAATCTCTGTTTCTGTGATTTCCATGATCCATTTCCCTGAGCTGCTTGTTTTCACCAATGGTCCTTGTTGTTATGGGCAGCAAAGTCCCTCTAATGATCTCTTTGAGGCTAGCCAGCAGGGGAGAAGTGGCTGTGAGTGGGGCCTATTTTCCTGGCTTGCAGGAAGCCAGGGGGCCAGAGCAGAGGCCCCCTACTGCCCTTCACTCCTCACTACCACCAGCTTCCCAGGTGTCCTGGACGCATGTGGGATGCCTCTGAGATAACCGGGTTAAGGCCAGGGCCTGTCTAACGCCTGGGCTCTGGAGCAGGACCCGGGTTCTGTGGGAGCTCATATGAAGGACAGGAAGTGACCAGTCCACAGACTGGACCAAAGGTCTGTGACTCACTGGTTGTATGTAGTAGGGATCACGCCCCTGCCATGCCAAACACCAAAACTGTAGGTCAGATTGGAGTTGTACTGGAGTAATACCATGACGAGGAGTGGGCTGCACTGGAGACCCCCGTCCCTGGAATGACCGGGGAAGCAGGGGCTGATGTGAGGAAGGGTGGAGAGGGGCTGCGGTGATGGCGAAGGAGGCCACAAGTTCCCGGTTTTGGCATGCTGCTCAGGCCTTCGCCTCCCCATGCTGGCTGTATTCTACCCGCACACCCATATTGGCCCAGACTGGGAAACCTCACAGCTTTGCTAAGTCATGGTCAGGTTAGTCAAGGCCAGTAAACCACGTGGGTGATGCATCATTGCCACCCTGGCACGCCTCCTTCCAGACCAGGCTGGGACTGGCTCTCCACATCCCAGGGCCTGGCCTTGGGCTTCTCTGCCAGCTGGTCAGGGTGAGTCACTCTTCTTTGGAGGATGCTGCCTTCCTCTAATGTTGGACATGAAGGGCTTTTTTGTCCTCCTAGAGTTCTGGAGCATCCCAGAAAAG